>NC_000023.11:34092126-34242483 GCF_000001405.40 Homo sapiens | reverse complement strand
CTTATGTCTGTGTTGCTCCCTTCTCTGCATCCTGCCTTCCTTTTCTTTTATTGACCACAATCCATAATGTTGAAATGCAAATGAGGTCACTTTCAACCCTTGAGGTTACATGACCTTCTATAACTAGTGTCCACAATAAGTTATAAATGAATCTGTCCTCCAAATTCCCAGAGGACAGAAACTATGTGTCTTGCCCTGGATAAGAGGTCTGTTTAGCCATAATCACAGGAAGAAGTTATGTATTGAAGCATTTTAGATTCCCACTTCTGTTAGTGTGCTAAAGATGGAAATTCTCTGAAAAAGGTACCCAGGCTTGCAGGCTTCCTAAAATGTATTATTTATAAATTTTGAAAGTACTTCACGTCTACTAAAGTGATAGATTCATTTTTTTATTCGGGAGTATTATTCATCAATAATATTATCAATATTATGTATTTTATCCACCAATGATCTTTTACTATATTTCATTTGTTGGTCATAGTAGTATTTATTGTGGAAAAGGAATGGTAAGGCAGAGTCCTCTACATCTCCATCCATTTAACTTGAGAACTTGTTAGAAATGTAGAATGTACTGAATAAGAATCTACATTTTGTCTAGATGCTCGATAGGTTCTATGAGTACAGTACCTACCTCATGTATCATTGCACTGGAAGTCAGGATACACAAAGTATTTAGTTCCTGGATCTGTCTCTAACCCAATTTGTTCAGTTCTATGTCTATTTCTAGTCCATATCAAACAGGTTCATCTCCGTGTTGCTAGACTATGGACTAATTTTCTTCTCTGTAATTACTCAGTGCTTTTAAAGTGTCAACTCGACTTGATTACCTAAAGTTCATCAATTTTATTTAGTGTATGTTATCCTACTGATGTTCTTAATTGCTCTGGTAAAAGTCTATGAAGTATAATAATGTCTAGAAATGTAGTTCACCCATATAATTATTTTTGTAAGTCTCTTCAATAAGAAACATGATGGAACTTTTATGTTTTCAGGTGGAGGAAAAATATATTTCTAGCTAAGTGTTTTTTAGAAATATTTCCCTCATAATTCAACTACCTTTCTCTTCATGGCATTTTCATTATTTTCATTATGAATGAAAATGTTTCCCTATTTGCTTGCTACAGTTAGAAATTTGCTGTTTAACTCTTCCCTAACTACCACATGTAGATTACACATATATAATTTCTTGTGGATTTTAAAGAAAAATAGGAGATTTCTTGAACTTTATATTTATTATGCTTAATTTTTTATTCTTCAATATTTTTGTTTCTCTTAGTTACTTGATGTAAACAAGTATATTTCTCAAGAATTTCTGTGTAATAAATAAGTTGGAATAAATATTATATTGAATTAATCTCAACCCTGACATTGATGTATTTATTCATTCCTTTTTTTTCAACAACATTGAACACCAATGGTAGGGAACAATGCCATTAGTTCTGGGATTTCAGAAAGTAAATGTAAGCTGCAAGTAACTGCAGCTACGAAGGCAAAATTTTTATACTGGTATTTATTTTATTAGCAGGAACAGCAAAGATATCTCTTCTTCTTTCCTGTTGCCTTCCAATCTTCTCTAGTGCCTTTGCTGGCCAAAGGTAAGCATTTTTTTTTTTTTTTACACAGGCCTATCATGTAAAATATTATTAAATGGTGGATTTGGAGTAGAGTATGCTACATAAGTGACTGACACAGTCCTCCCCTTTGGCTACGTTGCATTAAATTATAAACCACACCACATGTTTGAACTTCTACATAGCAGCAATAATGGCTTCTTCATGGTTCTGCTAACAAGATGTGCCAATGTTTTATACAAAGACATTCACCTCTTCTTTCCTAAAAGAGTCTTAACAAATAAAGTATGCGTCCCTGGGCAATGTGAAATCCATTTCTAGCTCTGTCACAAGCTATTCCAAATGCTCTGTAACCTAAACACTAAGTAGTAAAGTTAACTATACCCCAGATCCTCATATAAAATAGTAACTGGAAAGGATAAGGGATAAAAAAAATATCATTACATGTACATATATATACACACATAACAATCAAGAAAGAAAATATGCATATCTGATGTGTCTGTTATTTCTGTAGGTTAAAAAAGGCCTGAGTTGATATACGTTCCTTCTTTCAAACTATTCCGTATTATTTTTGTCCTCAGGAAAAGCTTTAATCAATCTGGATTCTTTACCTGTCAGGATAACCTAAAACTACATTACTAAAAGATTTGACTCCTCATTTTTTCTATGGGGGTGTTTTGGTTGCTAAACTTTTCTATTAGCATTTGCTATCGTACAATAAAGTAATAGAGAATCCTAAAGAATCTGCTGGGTTGCCAGCATAGCTTATTCTTTCCCATCATGTATCAGCAATACCATTTTTTTCTTGGCAGTCTCAAATAACCACTTCAGCCAGTGGAATAACCTCCTTGTCTGCCCATTGGCTCAGGGATATACACTAAATGCCCATGTATTTTACCAAAATATATCTTATTAATTGCTGTTCATCAGGTCCAGTCAATTTGATGTTATCAATATAGTGAACTATGGTATTCTGAGGCATATCATCATGAACATCCTGTTAACCTCCTTATGGCAGGAAGTAGGCACATTGACACAGCCCTGAAACAATGCAGTGAAAATGATCTTCTGCTACTGTGCCTCGCAAATCCATGTAGAGAAAAAAGCATTTGCCAGATCGATAATTATTTCTCCATGCTAGAGTTGTGTTGATTTGTTCCAGTAAAGGTACCACAGCTGTAACAGTGGCTGTAAATTAAATCAACATCTGTTAAGTTTACAATCAGATGTCAGTCAGTTACACAGTCAGTCTCCAAGATATGTGCAGGGCAAACAAATGAGTTAAATTGAATATATATATTTTTTCAAGTCTTTGACGGTAGGACTCAACTCAGCAGTTTTCTCTGGGAATCAGAAGCGCTTTTGGTTAATTTTCCTGGTGAAGAGAGGAAGTCAAAACAACTTGCATTTGGTCCTTTTTATTCTCACTGTCATCTATGGTTGAAGGAGGTAATTACACATTAAAGAACTGGGAAAAACATAGCCACAGAGTGAGTTTTTGCTCTACTGGCCCTATAAGAGACTGACTTAGGTCAATTCTACTCTTATCCCTAACCTCCATGTTTTTATTTAACTAATAGACCAGAGAGATAGTTTTGGTTCCCAGCAATTATTGTCAATTCATATGAGTGTCTAGTAATCTCTGAAACATCTGGATATTTCTCTTTCTCCAGTATGCAATAACCTTTGTAAATGACGTTAGATAATGTTGGAGATGGCTTCAAGAAATATTCACAGTCTTGCAGGGCTCTTCCTCAAGGGGGCCCGGACTCTCTATCAGTCCAAGGGCCTAAAGTTCATGAACTGGCTTAAGTCCAGAAACGTGGGAGTGAGTCACCATTTGACAACTCAAGTCCAGTTTCTGGCTAAAAGGCCTAGACATTTTTTTGTTATAGAGGTGAAGTAATATTTTTATAGACTGCTCATATATAAAATTTATTTGATGAATATCCTACTGCCAAAGATCCTATAGGTCAAAATATTGTAATTACCATTTTGTTTCTGCTGTCCGTTTTGTTAAATGTGTCCACCTTGTCTAAGATCATTAAACACTGTAACTTAGCCTTTGTCACTCTGAAATACTGTTAACCCCACTGAAATTGGTAGACTAATGGTGACATCTCCTACAATCTGCAGTACAAAAGAAAGATACCACAGAACATTTCCAAGAAGCTGAAGTTCCCACCTGAAGTTACAGTATGGGCCACTTACTGATGTTTCAGTCAGTAATGGACTGCATAAACCACAGTGGTTCCATAAGATTATACAGGAGCTAAAATATTTCTATCACCTAGTATTTACTATACTATATTTTACTGCTATTTTAGAGTATACTCCTACTTATAAAAAATGCTCATTGTAAACAGCCTCAGGCAGGTCCTTTAGGAGGTACCCAGAAAAAGGTATTGTTATATAGAAGATGACAGCTCCATGCATGTTATTGCCCCTGAAGCCCTTCCAGTGGGGGACAAGGTGTGGAGGTAGAAGACAGTGATATTGGTAATCCTGACCCTATGTAGGCCTAGGCTAAAGTGTGTGTCTGTGTCTTAGTTTTTAACAAAAAAGTTTCAAAAGTAAAAATAAATAAATAAAAAACACTAAACATGGAAAAAAGCATATAGAATAAGAAAATAAAGAAAGAAAATATTTTTGTACAGCTATACAATGTGTCTGTGTTTTAAGCTAAGTGTTATTACAAAAGAGTCAAGAAGTTAAAATGCTGGAATAAGTACTTAAGTACCCCTTTTAAGGTGTAAGCTCTCCTGTCAATCAAAAGTACTCGTTCTACCTTTATAAATTTAAAAGTTTATAAGGTAAAAACTTACAGTAAGCTAAGGTAAATTTATTATTGAAGGAAGAAAAATACGTTTTCATAAATTTAGTGTAGTCTAAGTGTACTGTGGTCATAGAGCCTAAAGTAGTATACAGTAATGTTCTAGGCATTCACATTCACTCACTATTCACTCACTCACTAAGAACAACTTCCGGTCATACAAGCTACATTCATGGTAACTGCACTATCCAGATACATCATTTTTAATCTATTATACTATATATTCACTGTACCTTTTCTATATTTTGATATGTTTAGATACACAACTACTTACGTTGTATTACAATTACCTACAGTATTTAGTACAGTAACATGCTGTACAGGTTCATAGTCTAGGAACAAATAGGTTTAGGTTAGGTGTATAGCTTAGGTGTATAGTAGGCTATACCACCTAGGTTTTTGTAAGTGCACTCTATGATGTTTGCATGACAACAAAACCCTCAAATGACATATTTGCGAGTATATATCCCCGTTGTTAAGCAATGCATGACTATATTTCACAGATCCTCAGTAAAGGGCATGGTTTCTGGGACTTATTGAAGATAGTGGTAGAGATAGATATTTAATATGTACATGACAAAGCCATTACAATATCCCTATCTCTCTAAATCTTTGTATTTCTTTCACTAATGTATGCCATAAAAGTTCTAGCATCTCAACATCATTGAATAAAAGCCTTCACAAGTCCAAGTTTCAATTAACCAATGAAATAAATTCTTAGAGTCATTTCCAATTCACTTTAATATATGTCATCTCAAATTTTTGCTTGGTGTATCCATATCAGTAAATTGAGCCTAGCCCAATAATTTATAATATCCTACTTGCTTCAAGACCAGAGATTCCCTCAGAATCTACTCTTGCAAATATTTCCCCAATTTCTGAAATACTTTTGGAATACACTGTATTTCTTTCTAGGTCTAACTTAGCACTTTTGCTTCAGAGCATACCCTTGTCTAAAGTTATTTATAGTTCTATAGCAAATAAGGAATGGTTGTGATGAGACTTGAGGAGAATATGTATCTACTTGCAAAACAGCTGCCTGAGTTGATGTTATTATATTGCCTTAACATAAGTAAAGCCTAGTCTCTTCAAGGGCAGAAGGAGAGTCAGCTTCCAGCAGCAAGGGAACATCAGGGAGACTTGAAAGTCTAAGTCTCTTATATCTTTTTCATCTTTAGATTTCTTTTTAAAAGATATTCACATTTAATTCCTAAAGTCCCACTACTTTCCAATGGATGCTATAAATTTTACATCTGAAACTTGACAATCTATGAATTAAATTTTCACTGCAATTTTACAAATATTGCAGTTAATTTGGGGTCCTATTTTTAGATATGTTGCTTCTGATGTTATAAGAAATAAGAGATGGTTTTTTAAGGCTGACATATAAACCCTCTGTTCATTTGACTGTCACTTGAGATAATTATTTAAAGTCCTGAATTTTAATTTTAATTTTCTTGTTGTAAACTCTCTTGTGCAATCAGAAGTACTTATTTCACCTTTCAAGTCCAGGGATCTTTAATATTAAAATACTTGTCAAGTTAGTCAGTGGTATCAAATGACAGACACTAGTCACATGTATCTATTTAAGTATAAAATTTAATCATAATGAAATGAAATAAAATTAAGACTTTGTTCCCTAGTTTCACTTGCTGTATTTAAAATGCTCAATAGCCACCAGCAGCTATTGGCTACTATATTGGACAGGACAAATAGATCATTTAAATCAATGCAGACAGTTATATTAGTGTTTCCCTGGAGACCTAAGTGCTTATATGTACCAGATACACATATCCAGTATATTCATAATATTGAATTTAATCGCCAAAAACCTGGAAACATCCCAATTACTCAGGACAGCAGAATGGATAAATAAAATTAGTGAAGATTGATGAACTATAGATACACACCACTTGATGAATTTTAGCAACAAAATAATGAACAAAAAAGGATGAGAAACAACATATACATTATACTTTATAACCATAGGAATAAAATATCAGTTAGTGATGCATCACTGGTGTTAAAATGACAGGGAAAAGAAGGAAATTATTACCAAAATATTAAGATAACTTAAGGAAGGTGCTCAAATTAATAAGGAATAAATTGAAATTTTCTGGCAGGTGGTTGATATTGTTTTTGACTTAAATGGAGGTTCCATGAGTGTTTGCTTAATAACTACTGGTAGAAATATCTTTTAAAATATGTGTATTATTTTTTGAAATAACTTATGCTGAAATAAAACCTAGAAAAAAGTATTTCAATGAGAGTTAAGGAATTATGGGCCCTGTTACACCCCTGGTAAGAGCACAGCAGCTCTTCTCTTGAATTGCTTTCCACTTAGAATGGAATAGAATAGAATTGAATCTGGGTATTTGTAGTCCTATATCATTCTCACTGGGTAGGAACCATAGAGGATTATCAAACACAGAATCTTAACTGGTATTCTTACTATATAACTTGCTTTAATATTAGCATGTGGAAGAGAATTACTGACAATATGATAATAATAAAATATTTTAAGACCCTTTTAACTTAAAAAACTCAGAAAACCTGATTAGTAGCAAAACTTCATAATACCTGACAATGATGGAATTTCTATATGGTTCTTTCACATATTCATTGTAGGTAAAATGATGAAAAAAATAGAATACATGTGTGCCCATTGTTCCTGAACTCCTGTGATTTTCTCTCTTTTCATTATTCTTTTTAATTGAGACAAGGTCTTTCCCTGTCACTCGGGCTGGAGTGCAGTGGCACCACCACAGCTCACTACAGCCTGGACCTCCTGGGATCAAGTGATCCTCCTGCCTCAGCCTCCTGAGTGAGACTACAGGCATGCACCACCATGCCTGGATAACTTCTTTATTTTTTATTTTTAGTTGAGACAAGGTCTTGATATGTTGTCCAGGATGGTATCGATTTCCTGGCCTTAAGTTATTTTCCTGCATCAGCCTCCCAAAGTGTTGAGATTACAGGCATGAGCTGCTGCACCTAGCACATATTTTTCTAATTACTAACAATTTGACATACATGTTCACATGTTAATATTATCTCTGAATCTGCAACTCAACATACGGTGTATGGTAAGTGTGGATTTTATATAATCATTATTAGAAATGTTTAATTCTTTATTTTGTGTGTGTTGGTATGTATATATATGTGTTGAAGAGAATTTTAAATTTACAACTTGACTATTTTATAAAACTTTAAATAACTTTATATATATATTCATATTAGTTGGACTATGGTATATAGAAAAAGGACATTCCAGCTTAAAAGAAATATTCGTTTTGCTCAATATATGTCTTACTCAAGAGCATATTTAAACAGATCATTCCTGGGAGGGAATAAAATATAGCTCCTATTTCTTTCTATGCTGTGCATTCTTCTCTGGGTTGTGTTAATGTTTAGTTTGGATATGCCAAAGAGCCAAAAATTAACAATAATTCTAAGAGATTAAGACTACTGGGACAGGAATTTAGATTTGGGTAAAGATTGACCAAAAAATGAAGGAGGGGGAGAGGCTGTTGGAATCATTCTCATCAGACACTTGAATCAGGAAGAGTTTTTATGGCTTTAAGAAGTCAGTAACAGAGCTGAAACCTTCAGTCCTTCAAATTCCTTCAGTCTGGTTAGGGTGGCATGGACAGTCCACCTGATGAAAAACTTGACTCTTCTGGGTTGAACAACTTCATTGTTTCATACGTTGGATTGGTTGTGAATCCAGTGAGATATTGTGCCATATTTACATATTAGTAGTTGGAAAAAATTGAAGAAACTATGTGATATAGCTAATTAATTTTATCAACTTGAATGATCCAATAAATTGTTGTACAGGGTTTGGAAGGGAGGGGATGTTGTAAATATCAGATGAGCCATGCATTTCTTCTTATGAAGGGGTTCTATGAAGATAAGGTTTGTGTTACTTTCTTGTGTATTAGAAGATGTCTTACAGAAATTAATAGATACCCTGTAGCTCCTCCAGTTTCTGATTGGTTAGGAGGACAGTACTGCTGTTGATATTGCAAAAAATATCAGGAGTGAAAGCCATAGGTCATGGGAAATTGTGGATTTGGGGTAGAGTACAAGTAGCATTTTTATGTATAAATTTCACAGGAATAATATAATATGAATTAGTCATGTTGTTTTCAAGAGAGACCTACGTAGTTTGGCCATTGTTACAATATAATGCAAGGAGGTTCACTAATGGATCTGGATAAGATGGGATTGGTAAGCAAGTTGTTTGGAATAAGGATATGGAATCTTTTATCATAGAGAATAGAAGTCTCAGTAGCTGACAAGGGAAAAGTACTTTTTGATGAATACACCAGAGTGGCATGGAAGAAAGGCAAGTGAAAGAGTTACTTGCCATATAGCTATCAAGTTGGGTTGTGATCAAACTCAGGAAAATCACTTCCCAAGGGTGATCAGGATTCCTGTATATATAACAAATATTAGAATACTTAGTCTGTAATCCCAGCACTTTGAAAGGCCAGGACAGGCAGATCACAAGGTCAAGAGATCGAGACCATCCTGGCTAACATGGTGAAACCCCATCTCTACTAAAAAAAAAAAAAAAAAAATACAAAAATCAGTTGGGCGTGGTGGTGCATGCCTGGAGTCTCAGCTACTCAAGAGGTTGAGGCAGGAGAATCGCTTGAACCTGGGAGGTGGAGGTGGCAGTGATGTAGGAACTTGTAGCTATAAACTTCTCTGTTAGTTCTGCTTTTGCTGTATCCTATAGGTTTTGAAATGTTGTGTTTCCATTATCATTTGTTTCAAGAAAATTTTTAATTCCTTTCTTAATTTCTTCATTGACCCACTGGTCATTCAGAAGCATATTGTTTAATTTGCACGTATTTGTAGGGGTTCCTAAATTCTTCTTGTTATTAATTTCTAGTTTTATTGCATTGTGGTCAGATAAGATGCTGATATTATTTCAATTTTTTGAATGTTTTAAGACTTGTTTTGTGGCCTAACATGTGGCCTATCCTTGAGAATGATTCACATGCTGAGGAAAGAATGTGTATTCTGTAGCTCTTAGATGAAATGTTCTGAAAACATCTATTAGATCCATTTTGTCTATATTGCAGATTACATCTGATGTTTCTTTGCTGATTTTCTGTCTGGAAGATCTGGTCAATGCTGCAAGTAGGGTATTAAAATCTCTGGCTATTGTTGCATTGGGGTCCATCTTTCTTTTAAGGTCTAATAGTATTTTCTTTATATATGGGCACTCCAGTGTTAGATGCATACATACATAAAATTGTTATCTCCTCTTGCTGAATTGAACTTTTATCATTACCTAATGATCTTCTTTGTTTCTTCTTATAGTTTTTGTCTGGCAATCTATTTTGTCTGATATAACTATAGCAAGTGATGCTCTTTTTTGGTTTCCATTGGCATGGAATAACTTTTTCCATTCCATTATTTTCAGTCTATATGTGTCTTTATAGGTGAAGTGGGTTTCTTTTAGGCAAAAGATAAATGGGTTCAAAGTTTATTTATTCATTTATTTATTTTTAAAATATGTCCTCCTGGTTAGTTCACTGAGGCCTATTAGAAACAGGCTGACATTCAGAATTAAAACTTAGGGAATGTGATAACAATCTTGCTACCTGAGTTTCCTCTGGCTCTGGCAGAAATCTGTGTAATATTTATCTGGAACACAAAAACAATATCTGTCTAATTTGTACTTGGAGTGGAATTAGATGGATCATAAGCCTAGAACCTACCTAGCTCAATGAAGATTCATTATTGAGATAACACATTGCTCTGAGCTGTCACACATCATAAAAATCCTAGTTTTCAAAGAACTGAGAGTGGGAACTCTATCTCACCACATTTGCTGAACTTCATCTGAGACTAGGCTATATTGGCAACACAAGGATAAATATGACTCCATTCTTGCTCTTTAATGTGGTTGAGGAAAGATTCTTATAACAAACAAAGTGGGAATAAGTAACAGAAGGAACAACAGTGTCATGCTTATGTGCATATTTGTGGAATAATGAGTAGGTTGACTCAGCAGAGTATAAGGATGAAGCAGAAAAGATCATTTGGCCTCAAATTAAACAGCATATGCAATTTGAGGCTATGGAATATAATCTTTATTCTGTAGTTTGTGGGAAGCCATTAAAAGTTTGTGGAACAATTAGCTACAAAATCTAAATTTGTCAGCAATATGTAGGATACACTAGAATGGGAAAAGATCAGAAAGAAAGAACCCTGATAAGAGACTATTATATCAACCAAGGACAATATGAGATATAACATGTGACAGTAAGAATGTGGAGACAAACATGGATTAAGGATATTCTATGAAGACAGAATTAATGGGATTCATCAATTATTTAAATGGAGGAGTGTTTCATTTCCCCCAGAAATAGCACCCTTTAAAAATGACACCAGATTTAAGTTTGAAAAAGCATACCATAAGTGCTACTGGCCCCTGATATTTATATATGCTAATTTATTCCATTCTTTGGCTGAAACATTGCTTATTATTGTATTCCTTGCTTTCTTATACCCAATAGTTTTTTTTTTTTTTTTTTTTTTTTTTTTTTTGAGACGGAGTCTCGCTCTGTCGCCCAGGCCGGACTGCGGACTGCGGTGGCGCAATCTCGGCTCACTGCAAGCTCCGCTTCCCGGGTTCACGCCATTCTCCTGCCTCAGCCTCCCGAGTAGCTGGGACTACAGGCGCCCGCCACCGCGCCCGGCTAATTTTTTGTATTTTTAGTAGAGACGGGGTTTCACCTTGTTAGCCAGGATGGTCTCGATCTCCTGACCTCATGATCCACCCGCCTCGGCCTCCCAAAGTGCTGGGATTACAGGCGTGAGCCACCGCGCCCGGCCTACCCAATAGTTTTATCATTAATTTTTCATAGCCATGTTGGTACCTACATTTTAATAACCTATCAGACTTAATTCACTGGCTTGCTGATATTAGCCTCCAATGTGTTTCTCTATGACACCCTTTGTGACTCAATTCCTCTAGGCATATGGTAAAGACACCAATTAATATTTTTAAAACATGGGCAGAGGAACTCATGTTAGTGTGTGTGAAAAGGAAAAGAATCAATGTGTAATTATATCTTCAGTTATTAAGAATTAGCCTGTTTGTAAATTTACTTCTATGAATCTTAGACTTGAACTAAAATATAAAAATTACTTTGAAAAATAAACCTAAACTTACACAAAAGATTCTAAATCTTTACCATTTTATTGGTGTCACCAGTTTACTCAAATATCTTTTTATTAAGACTCTAAAATAATTTATTAGGGAAGGTAGAAAGCCCAGTTAAAATAGACTTAATAGGAGTTTCACTTTGGCCATGGAGGAGAAGCTGATATTGTACTAACCCCCACAATAAAAAATATCAAATAACTTTGTTTAGATGTTTGACAATAAGTAGAATAAGACTGTGATCTTTGAGAGAAGAGAAACAAGATGATCTCTGCCATCTCTCCAACTTTCTGACAACAGATGTTTTCTTTTTCTAAAAAAAAAAGTATTTTTTTTTAAGTTCTGGGGCACATGTGCAGGATGTGCATGTTTGTTGCATGGGTAAACGTGTGCCATGGTGGTTTGCTGCACCTAACAACCCATCACCTAGGTATTAAGGGCAACATGCATTAGCTCTTTTCCCTAATGCTCTCACTCTGCCCTCCCGCAACAGGCCCCAGTGAGTGTTGCTCCCCTCCCTGCGTCCATTGTCAGGCCTCTGAGCCCAAGCCTGCACCTACACATCCAGATGGCCTGAAGCAAGTGAAGAATCACAAAAGAAGTGAAAATGGCCGGTTCCTGCCTTAACCGATGACATTACCTTGTGAAATTCCTTCTCCTGGCTCATAAGCTCCCCCACTGAGCACCTTGTGACCCCCACCCCTGCCGCCAGAGAACAACCCCCTTTGACTGTAATTTTCCATTACCTACCCAAATCCTATAAAACGGCCCCACCTCTATCTCCCTTCGTTGACTCTCTTTTCGGACTCAGCCTGCCTGCACCCAGGTGATTAAAAAGCTTTCTTGCTCACACAAAGCCAGTTTGGTGGTCTCTTCACATGGACGCACGTGATATCCATGTGTTCTCATTGTTCAGTTCCCACTTAGGAATGAGAACATGCGGTGTTTGGTTGTCTGTTCCTGTTAGTTTGCTGAGGATAATGATTTTCTAGACTGCAACCAAAGGAAGTGGAGTCCAAACAAATAAATATGGACTACTTGAGCAGAGCAGAAATAGATTATCATTCCAGGCTATTGTCATAACTCTAATTTTAGGGACTTGATACGGATGAGAAAGGAAAGTGTTCAGAGAGGAGCTTCAGAAAACTAGAGGGATGTTGCTGAACATCCTACAGTGCACAAGACAATCTCCACGACAAATATTAATAATTATCTATACTATAATAGCAGTAGTGCTGCTGTTATACTGAGCCAAAGAAAGCGGTACAAAAGTACTTTCTTCATTATCACACTTCAAGTTCTAGAAGTGTTGCAACACATTTTCTTAAAATGTTTCTTTTTTCTTAAAAAAGAAAAAATCAAAGCAGGATTTACCTCTTTAAAGGATGGGGCAGGGATTTACTGGGAAGGAAATGAGGAGTCTTCCTGGGGTAAAGAAAATGTTCTATGTTCTCAAATAAAAACAAATGTAGACCTAGGTTGCAGGGACTTTGGTTGAAAGGATTATTGCAATGAAGGAAGGGGACTATTGCAACAGGAAGATCACTGGAACCATGAGATCTGTAAATGTCTCAAAGTTTATTAGAAACAAAGCTTTTATTTAAAGAGAGAAGTAACAAAGGCTAGGGCTAGAGAGAAGCAGGCTGGCGAAAGTGGTATGAAAAAGGGTGTTGTGCTTGGATAGTAGACCAGAGAATGCTGTACCCTGAAGTCAGCTTATTTTCAGAAGGGGCTGATAAGGAGGGGCATTATACTGGCTCAGGGTAAAGGTAGGTCAAAGTTCAGGGATCTAGGAAAGGAGAGAAACTAAATCCAAGTTTGTTTAACAAGGATTTTGTTCCAATTGTTAAGTGGGGACAAGTGTTTGGTTAATCATTTATGAGACAAAGAATGGAAATTGGAAGGGTCTGTGACCAGCCTTGTAATAGGTAAAGAGGGGGCATATATGTGTCTTATCAAAGTCATATGAGGAATGGTGTTTCTTTGCAGTAAGCCAAATGGAACATAAATGATTAAAGAGATTTAATCGTAGCTGTTTACGGAATCATAGAGCCCTGGTGAAATTCAACATTGTCAATGTTTTGATAGCTGTATGGATTACATACATGTATGCTATTTTCGAAGTTCATCCATCTGTTCACTTAAGAAGTGTATTTTATTGTGTGCAAATTTTACGTCATTAAAAAACACTTATTTTCACACAGACACAACAAAGCAAAACATCAATTTTAGTAAATACATCTGTCCAGAAGAAATACTCCTTCTAAAATAAAATCTGAAATTTTAAAATGTATAATCTTCATGAATATTTTGCAAATTTTTATAATAACATTAGGATTACTTCTGGTTCTGGGTTTAGTTTTCTTCTTTAAGGCAGCACAACAGAGTAAGAGTATTGTATGTATGAATTTCTGTACATACATGTGTGTGTATATTTGTGTGTGTGAGTATAGGATTGTGAAAAAGAAATAGAATATTTCCCATTCCAATGATTTAAAAGAAAAATAAAATGATCAATCTTTACCTAAGACAAGTTAAGTTTTTTGACAGTCAATTTTTCTGGAAACTTCCAAGCTGTCTCTGTGTAAGAAAATCTTCATGAAGGATCATTGTACATTGACAAAGCAGGGTTAGTTGAAAGTTCTGTGAAAAGTAATAGTCTATATTCTGCATTTGTATTCAGGGATGAATTACTAATGCTGATTATATCTCTTTGATCTACATTTCTAGGTAATTTCTTTCATTGTGGCCAGCTTCTTTTGATTCCGATCATATTCACATTAAGCAGACTGATGGGCAACCCTCCTGACCTACATGATTATATTGGCTGTCTTTATGATCTGTGCAGCTTATTGCATGATTAGTCCAGCTGTGACCAACAAAGCAGAATTGAAGATGGAATTATTGACTCCGCTGTGTCACAGTCAGCACATAGATAGACTCAGTCCATGTGGTGTTCATTTTTTACCCTTGTATCCCATAGTATTTGCTTTTTCTATTTATTTTGATAAATGGACAGTTAATTCATAGTTCAATATATGCTACAGTAAGCATTTAAAGCTAAATGTTTCATTTGTTATTGTGTTTTATAAATAATAATGACCCAATTACATATTTTTGCATTAATAGAAACTTGAATCAGTATAATTTATATGCAGTTCATTTTTGACTATAATAATATAACATTTCAATTCCAGTTTCTCATTTTCATTAAAACTATGAACATTTTCTTCATGAAAACTTAAAAGATAAATATAATCATATGGTTTATAACCTGAATAAAGGGTTTTTTTCTTAGATTTTGTAAGCAATAGCTTTACTTTTCAAAGGAGCACTTCTTATATTAATTCACGATTTAAGGAATCTTTCCATGTTATTTGGTCACTAGATAAATAATGTTTTGGCAGTTCCTCTTAAGCCAACAGAGTTTCCTATATGTAGGAAGACAGGAAGACATATATCCCATTGTTTTAAAAAATGATTATTTTTAATATTATCTTCATGTTCATATATTTATATTCTTTCACATTTTATTTAATAGCAAAGTACCTAAAGGAAGGTGAAATCTGTACGAGTTAAATTTCTTTTAACAGTTCTCATTTTTCCACTATATTTTTCCATTACTCTAATACAGCTACTGTGTTGATGGCCAGAGTGAAGACTGATATGGGTTCGGGTACACTTATGATTACAGTTGAATATAACAAGTTTTCAAGTCACATGAGATTTCAGCCATCCTGTCAGTTCTTCCTTCCTATGAATATGAACATTCTCTTACTTTGTTGCGGGAAGTCAGGAACCCCGAATGGAGGCACCTGCTGAAGTTGTGACAGAAGAACATAAATTGTGAAGATTTCATGGACATTTATCACTTCCCCAATCAATACTCTTATAATTTCCTATGCCTGTCTTTACTTTAATCTCTTAATCCCGTCATCTTTGTACGCTGAGGATGTATGTCACCTCAGGACCCTGTGATGATTGCATTAACTGCACAAATTGTTTGTAGAGCATGTGTGTTTGAACAATATGAAATCTGGGCACCTTAAGAACAGGATAATAGCGATTTTCAGGAAACAAGGGAGATAACCTTAAAGTCTGGCTGCCTGTGGGCCGGGCAGGACAGAGCCATATTAATTAAGGAATATTAATAATTAACAGCCCTGGGAAAAGAATGCATTCCCGGGGGGGCCTCTAAAATGGCCGCCCTAGGAATGTTTGCCTTATGCAGTTGCAGGTAAGGGATGAAATGCGCCCTGGCCTCCTGCAGTGGCCCCAGGCTTGCTAGGATTAAGAAATTCCAGCCTGGTGAATTCTAGTCAGTCCGGTTCTCTGCTCTTGAACCCTGACAATGCGTGCACAGCAGGACATGGAAGTTCATTAGTGATTCTAGTTTCGCCCGGACCTTCTGCCTTGTGATCTTTTGTCGCCCTTGAAGCATGTGATCTCTGTGACCCACACCCTATTCATACATTCCCTCCCCTTTGAAAATTGCTAATAAAAACTTGCTGGTTTTACGGCTCAGGGGGCATCATGGAACCTGCTGACATGTGATGTCTCCCCCGGACACCCAGCTTTAAAATTTCTCTCTTTTGTACTCTTTCCCTTTATTTCTCAGACCGGCCAACATTTAGGGAAATAGAAAAGAACCTACATGAAATAACGATGAATTATCAAGGGCGGGTTCCCCTGATGAACTTTAAAGTTTGAGCTTCTAAACATAGGTGAATAATGTTCCAAACTATAAAGTTGTGATTAATTCATAACTTTTTATGGCTTTGCAAAATGAAACTGACCACAACTTTGTAGTAAGGTTCATTATTGCCTAGAATAAGAATGGACATGAGTCATCCTAGAGAAGGCTCCCACAGGAGAAAAGAAAAAAAAGATGGAGAAGGATTTATCATTTTATTTTTATTGCTGGCCTGTATTTGTAGGCCCCCTGGCTGAAGGACATCTAAGAATTAGAGATTCTTTCAATTCTAGAAATCAAAAAGGTAATAAAATAAGAAAATTATTTAAGAAGTACTCATTCAACATTATAAAATCAATCCCATATCAACATATAACAACTTAAACTTCCATATATACTGCAGGCATGAATCAGGGTTAAAAAAGTCAGACTACATGGTTGATACTTCTTATTTCTAATAGCCATGGCATAAGCTGTATCAATAGGAAGTATATATCTATTCTGCTCTCTTCAAATTACATACACTAATGGGGGAAAGAGAACAACATACGGAACTTTAGAAAATATATAGAATTTTATCATTTCTTCAAATTATTTTCAGATGCTTAAAGTAGAAACCTGGGTATTATGGTTTTTAAGTGTGCACAAAAATACATCCTTGGATATATTATTCAAATAAGTCTAATGGTAATTGATTCTGTGATAGTACACACAAAAAATTTCTGAAAATGAAGAAGCAGGGGTAGATGGGTTATCTAGAAGGACAGAATGAATTTAGTAAATTGTATTAGATCCTGAAAGTTACAGTTTCAAGAGTTCATAATCTTTTCTCACACAAATATAGAATGAGCACATGCCAAACATACTTTTAAATTTGCTAATTGATATGGGAACCAGTAACTAGTATGTTGCAACTAGTTCAAAGGACATTCAAAGAACCACACATATATAAGCATTAAATGATGCTGAAATATATTTATAATGAAATGTAACAGTGGTTTGTAGAGAGAGAGATTAATTGCATTTCTAATGGACAAAATATATTGGTATGATTATGGACAAGAATCATTCATATTGCTGTCAGTTTCTACAACTAACAGAGTTGTCAAAGAGCTCAAAAACTAGGAAAGGTAAAGTGACCCTATATGGGTCAGAAAGTCCAGAAGTATGTGCTTATACAATGCCTAGTTTTCTTTTAACGACACCCAGCAATCTTTTTAGAACATCTATTCTGAGAAAGCTTGCCAGTGGGAAAAATACCTGCGGAAGGGGTTTAAAAATCTTTTGCAAACATAAATTAATATGGAAATTTAAGATATTATTTGATAGAAATCTTCATGAATAAACACCCTTTAAAATATGCTACATACATTGATGATACAAACAAGTGCTTTTTTCAGTAATTAAGGAATACAGGCTGAGTTTCACATTTGCACATAACTTAGCAAAAGCAATAAGATATTAGATCTAAAGTTTGTTGGTGGAAAGTAGGAGGAACAAGAATTTACCATGAGAATAAAGATTCTATGCTGTTTGCATAAATCTGGGGAGGAAAGGGGATTTTCTATAGAATTAAAGGTATTAGGCTTGAAAAATTATGTATAAATATCAAAGAATAATCTTAATGGTCATATGAAGTTCAGCACTTCTGTTGTTAACTATTTGTATATTTCACCAGTGTACTGGCAAAACACTTAGTATTAAGTGACTAAGATTGTCTTTTTTTTCTGCCCGGTTTTATTTCACCATTCCGCTTGAGCATATCCAACAACATCTTTCTATTTGCATTTTTCTGTGGGTTGTGTAAAATGTATTATTCCAGGCTGAGAGCTTCTCTAGGTACAACTCTCCATCACTCATATTTCTTTACTTCTAGAGTTATTTCTTGTGTTTCAAATAGCCATGAAATTACTTGCCTGTGGTAATGAATTTATGCTCACCAATTGAACTGACACTTTGCTGTTTTGCATTTTTTTTACCAACTATATTTCTGTGTTTGGGGAATAGGGGTGGGTGGCTGGGTGTGTTTCTCATGTTATAAAGTACCTTGCAGAGCTGCTAGAGTTTAATAACATTTGACTCCCAGATTATATCTGCCTCATTTACTGCTACATACCCATTGCAGAACATAAAGCCTTATATTCAACATATGTTTAAAATGTACTACTTTTGTAAATGCTTGCAACAAAAGGTCAGAGACAGCAGTTGTTTACACAGTTAGCTCCAGGGAATCCACTGGAAGCTAGTGCCAAAGATATTGCTTTTTTCTCTTTCTGTTCGGACAATGGACGTACATGTGCTTGAGGAAAATAGGTAAATTAACAAATTTGAAGCAATCCTTCTTTATTACTTTCTCATATACGATTTGTTATATTTCAAGATGGTGTTGCAGAGGCATTCAATAAAATGTCCATGGTCAGCAGTTTTTTTCAGCACATGCAATGAATAGCAATCTATACCTCCCATGTCTGTATTTTGACAAATGGGACATGTTTACAAAATGGCCAGTAGTGTAAGAAGCATACTCAGCAAGAATGGATGAGCTTAAGGCTAATAGGCTGGGTTCTCTGGCACTGTAGATCATAACATCAACATAACATAAAAAAATATGAAGTCCTGAGTTTTAGTAGCTTAAGAGTAAGGACAGAGGAAAAAAATGATTTGATTCCTACTAGCACACACATCTAGCCTCTCAGAGTAACCTTCCCTTTCATTCTTAGATATTAGTGCATGCCATATTTGTCACATCTAAGAATGTAGAGTATTATTTTTAAACACTTGGCATACACATATTTATGTTGAAAATTAGCAACAAAATGTGAAGGATAAACTTGCATCTTGGCAATATAAGTTAAAATTCAATGAAGATTGTCATGTTAATCGCTTAAGTAGTCACTTTTTTAACAGAGCATAACTAGCCCCTTTTTTTCCAGAAAGATGACAAATATTTAGAAGTTTGAATTTTTCCGTGGCTAGTTCACCTCACTTGGGGTGAAAAACAATGTGGTATCTTAATATTGCCAAACAGAAAGGGCTTTGAGTTGTATATTCCCTTACATATAGCTTCCTAAGCTTTGATTTATACCTTATCACCTAAGAGATTGCAGCTCTGGTAATATCAGCCTATCTGCTGGCCTGTATATAGATCTAATAGTGTAGTGGGTGTTGATTTGAACTGACTGAACAGCATGATGTTGCATTCTGACTCTCTAAAGCCTACAAGCAATTATAGCAGTTTTCCATTAAAATTTGCCATCGGAGTCCCAAAATCAGTTTATGAGATCCGAGAAAAGATAGGGCAATGAAGGTCACTGAATCTACATTTCTATGTGATTAATATTTTCTGACACAAACACACAATTTTCTTCCTGGGTCAAGTTCCTGTCAGTGAGGTACACTTGAAAAGTCTAGTATAACAAGCAACTTCTCCATAAATAAATATGGTATTTTAAAATAACCAAGCTAAGAGAGTAAATAAGAATAAATAAGCAACAAGTGCTTTCTACAGCTCTTGTCCAATTTTAACAAAATGATGTTATTAACATAAACAGATGACGACAAAAAGTTTATACATGTCAAACCTCAAACAGATACATGCTAATTCTACTCACTTTGGGATTATCATATTTAAGGGCAAACTATTCTTAAATCTCAGAGCAGCAACATTTGATTGGAGTAAAATAGACTGAAATAAAATAACCAAGGTCCATTTTATGCAAAATGTTGAAGTCTGTGTCTTATATTTAGGGCAACTAGGCTACCTTTCACCACCATTATCATTTCTTCTCACATATAAACATTTTTCCTTTGCTGCCATATGAATACCAAATGATTCATTATAGTCCCCTTCGTATATAGGCCTTTTCTTTTCTCCTTTTCTCTGAAATATTAAGAAACAAGTACCAGATTTGTATTGCTCATTTGCCCTCCTTCATATGATGTCAACTTATTTCTTAATAGCTGATGACCAGATAATCTGATTAGTATATCTGTTATTCTGCATTTATGGATATGGAAATATTAATATTTTACCCTTCCTAGTTGACTGGCATGTGTTCTATAGAGATCTTCCCTGTACAATAACTGAAAAATTAAAGCATAATTTCTCTGAATTTAGACATTATTGCATCCAATGTGGGAGATGATCAAGAGAAAAATATGACCATAGGAAAACTTAATATACACCATATCATCAGTGTAGATGCAGAAGATTATATGCCCTATGCTCTACTTTAATCTCATTCTGGCCCTTTCTTTACCATGTTACAGAAGTTTACACTTTTCTTGCTGGCCTTCTTTCTTTTTAAATCCACTACTTGGCTTTAAAAACAAAAAGCTTTTTAGTTTTTCCGTAAAAGAAACCTCCACAAAATCAAGAGAAAATAGTCCCTTCTATAGGATACAAAATAGACACTCTTCTGCTGTCTTAAAGCTTTCCTTGCTTAAAACTTTCCTTACATGTGATAAAAATATTTAAGACACCCTGAACACAAGGTAGTTGCTATACCTTCTAAAAATAAACTTTAATTTTTAAAAAGCCTGGAATTCTGATAAAATATCTTACTTAATAACTATACTCCTAGCAATTCGTTTAAATTGATAGCACTCCCTGAAAGCTGCAAATTTATGTTTTCTTTGTTAGGCCAGAAGAGCATCATTTGTATGTCACTTTTCTCTCACATTCATGGGGAATTCAAGTCTGTAAATTTCCTATTGAAAAAGTGTGACTAAGATTTTTTTAATCACCCAAATTAATAACAGCTATAGTGGGGGACATTAGCTCAGTTCACCAATATTACCAGTTCTCCTTACAGACATACTGAAGGAGTGCAAGGACTGCATCTTACTGCCACCACTCCACACCCTGCAAAGACAGGAGTGGCCACATGACTTGCTTTGGCTAATACAAAGTAAATGGAAGTAATATGTACTAATTTCAGATCAAAGTAATGGATAACTTGAGTTTGACTCGTGAACCTGCTTTTGACTCTTTCATGACTTTCATGGAGGTATGATATAGTTTGGATATTTGTCCTTGCCCAAATCTCATGTTGAAACAAAATAACCCCGCATATTGGAGATGGGGCCTGGTTGGAGGTGTCTGGATCTTGGGGGAGGATCCTTCATGGCTTGGTGTTGTCATTGCGATAGCGAGTTCTCGGGAGGTCTGGTCATTTAAAAGTGTGTGGCATCTCCCGCCTCTCTCCGGTTCTTGCCATGTGAGATGCCTGCTCCCACTTCCTCTTCTGCCATGAGTAAAAGCTCCCTCAGGCATCCCCAGAAGCTGAGCAGATGCCAGTGCCATTCTTCCTACACATCCTACAGAATCGTGAGCCAATTAACTTTCTTTTCTTTATAAATTACCCAACATAAGGTATTTATTTATAGCAATGCAAGAACAGCCTAAAACAAGGTATCATAACATTTGTGCATCCTGGAAATTTGAGCCAACATAGCTGACCTGGAATGTCAGGGAGATGTACAATATACTTGGCATGAAATTATTTTATTGGATCAAGCCATTGAGATATTTGGGATGTCTATTAATGCAGCAAAACCCATCCTATACTACCTATTTCTTCTACACCTGTGAAATATTTATGGTGGTTTTTAGAATATATTTGGATATACTTGAATGTTCCCTATCAAATAATACATATTTAAGTATTCCAATGGGTGAAATTTGGAAATCTCTGAGTATTATGGATTTCCAAACCAATATAGTTATTTGAAGTATGTAGAATAATATATGAGCATGGCAGTAATATGCTAAATAATTTAGGAAGTCTCTCATAGTGTTTAAAATGCACATACAAAGTATTTTTATCTTCAAATGTTTAGTTTCATGAATATACTAGTAGCATTACACGAAAGAAAATATAGTGATTAGATAAGACGTAGTTATTCATTTTTTTTCTTATTTATGTATTCAACATAAAAGTTTCTTGTGTGTGTTCATTATTTGTAAACAGCTACTTGGTAACTAAGAGGCATTAAATTAAGAAATAAACTGATTTTGCCAGGTGATAACATTTTTATCTATAATGAACTTTATGTATGAATAAGAAACAGACCATTTCTTCCATCACAAAGTAGTTTGAATTTCTAAATCCAAGTAGTATGTCTCGATTTTCACTTCCTCTAGAATTTTTAAGTAAGTATATAAAGGTAAGTGCACAAATAGTCAAACATCTATAAGAGGGTATTGTGGATCATTTGCAATTGTGACTCCAGTTATTCCTGTTCTTCTACCCATGCACCTGTGAAATGTGACTTTGTCACTCATTCCACCAAAAGAAAGAGTCTATTTTCTACCACATGGATCTGTGGTGTTCTTGCGACTTATTTAACAAATAGAGTGCAGCAAGCATTACGTTGTGCCAGTTTTGAGGCTAGAACCAGAGACATTGTATGCTTCCACTCATTCTCTTGGAATCATTCATTATCAAGTGATCAAGCCCAGGCTAATGCCCAGGCTAATCTGTTGAATGATGAGATACCAGTCACCCTTATTGCCCCTGCCTACACCTATCCATCCAGTCATCAGACATATGAATGAGACCATCCTGTAAGAACCAGCCTCTGGCCAACTCACTGGCTCAATGCAGACATATGAGCAAGTCATTCCACATCAGTCATACCTGGCTCAGATCAGCAGAAGTTTCAGCTCAACCACAGACTAATATGTAATGGTAAATTTTTATTGTTTTAAGTTTTTTTTAATGCAGAATAGACCACTGATATAGAAAGTTAATTTATTTAATCATCCTTGTTTTTTTGTTTTTGTTTTCAGTTGTTTGTTTTAAGATTTGGAGTACTGGAACAGCATGCAAAAGTGTGGAAAACTTACGGGAACAAAAACAAAAAAAAGTGTATTGCTTGTATATATAATTATAAACATAATTACTTGATGATTGTGACCAACAGAAACATACAAATTAAAATTAGTCTGGTATACCGTATCATATGAAATAGATGTTCTTGGCCATAAAGAAGGTCAAAATTTTTCAAAATATTCAGATTAGAAAAGAATTACGTATTTTGTATAGGCCCCAGTGTTTTTTCAATTGTGGTTCTCTTGTCCAAATATTTACCTCAAAATATGTGAATGACTATGAAACTCTAAAGTAAAACAATAATTTGTTCTTTTTCTCCTCTTTATATAAATTTTTTTTCCAGAATGTAGGAATTCAAAATGCATTCAAAATGTAGGAATGCACTGATAGATAAAACAACATGACGGAAATATGGGAGCAGGGACCAGTGCAGATTTAAAGAGAAATTCAAAGCTATGGACTTTAGCAATAATGGTTTACAGAAAAATGTGCCAGTTACCCATAAGAAAATATAGCCCCAAAATAATATTAGTTATATTTTTGAAAGATAACAAATACCTTATTCCACTATCTCAATTTAGCAATGTTTTCATATAGTTAAAGCTTACATTTTAACTAAAAAAGTGCATTAATATTGGCCATCTTGCCAACATTAAATGTATTATACACACGCCAGCCTTTTTGTTGTTATTTTATTTAACATATTTTAACCTAGGAGAGAAAATCTGATTCATTTTACTGTCAAATCCCTTTACTTGGGGGTAATAAGAACAATTAATTAGAAAGACGTAAAGATTCAAAGCAATCCTTTGAAGTGGGTGCTATTATTATCTCCATATCACAGCAAAGGACAGTGGGGCACAGATATGTTAAGCAATAGAGGTAATAAGGACTCATATTAGAGACTGTGGTTCTAGACTCTGTGCTTCTAACACTAACACCCCAAAACAGATTCATGGAGTAATGTGTAAGAAATGACTACATGTCCTCATGTAGGTAAAGTGATGAATGTTGCAATTTACCAAGACTTTAATGGATGAAGGAGGAGGAAGTGGCAGTACTTGCTTAACATAATTGCTTCCCCTTTATATAATATAAAGCAGTATGGTCCTTACGCAAATCTATTCAACTCTTAGGTAAGTAGGTGAGTCATAGCCAGTTTTCTGTTGGCTTTTGAGGTTTTTGTTGTTTTGTTTTGGCCTTTCCCCTACTCCCTTGGTTTTTAAGTTATCAACAGAAACTGCTCTTAGAGTCATCTTCTGTTTTACTGACCACATTCTTTTACTTGCTAATTATACTTAAGAAAATTATTTAATTGGTTGAGCTTCAGTCTCCTAATCTATAAAATGATGAAAAAGAGAGGTTTTCTGTAAATTAGTTATGACTATCACTAATTAAATGAGATAACAGAAGCATATTTTGAAATGCAAGATTATATGTTGAAATGCTTATGATAATCAAGCATCTTGAAAGTTAAATATACACACACCCTATGTGTGTACACTATTCTGAGTGACTTACAGATGTTTGCTGTCTTATGATGGGATTATGTCTAGATAAACACATCATAAATTGAAAATACACATTAAAAATGCATTTAATACACCTAACCTATCAAACATCATAGGCTTTTTTTGTTTGAAAGGGAGTCTCGCTCTGTGGCCCAGGCTGGAGTGCATTGGTGCGATCTCAGCTCACTGCAACCTCCGCCTCCTGGGTTCAAGCAATTCTCCTGTCTCAGCCTCCCGAGTAGCTTGGATTACAGGCACCTGCAACCACGCCCAGCTAATTTTTGGATTTTAGTAGAGACGTGGTTTCACCATGTTGGCCAGGCTGGTCTCGAACTCTTGACCTCAAGTGATCCGCCCACCTCGGCCTCCCAAAGTGCTGGGATTACAGGCGTGAGCCACCGCACCAGGCCACCCTAGCCTATCCTAAACATGCTTAGAACACAACATTAGCCTACAGTTGGTAAAATCATCTAACAGAAAGCCTATCTTATAATAAAGTATTGAATATTTTATAAAATTTATTGAACACTGTACTAAAAGTGAAAAGCAGAATGCTTGTAAGGGCACTCGAAGTACAGTTCCTACCTATTGTGTATCGGTTTTACACCATTGTAAATTTCAAAAATCATTAGATGGAGCTATCAGAAGTTGTGTGCCATAGGTACATGTATTTATATGTAAATATGCTGCCATAGTTGACCAAGAGGATGCAGAGGAAGATGGGGTGTTTGGTAAATAGAATTGAAATGGTTGAGGAACTCAAAACTTGCAAAAGGTAATTTTAATTAAGCACAATAAAAAATTAATTTAGCTCCTTTTTTTTAGAGTTGGAATTTGGGAAAGCCGGGATATTAAGCCAGCTTTTAACCAACACCTTATACTGCCATTCAAGGTAAAAACAATTTCCTCTTGGAATATCATGCAAATATGCTGCATGCCTAGGATCCTTATATTCTTTTTTAAAAAAATACTTATTTTAGGTTCAGGTGCACATGTGCCAGTATGTTTCATAGAAAAACTGCATGTTGTAGTGGTTTGGTGTACAGATTATTTTGTTACCAAAGTAATAAGCATAGTACTCAATAGGCAGTTTTTCAATCCTTGCCCTCCTTCTACTCTCCACCCTCAAGTAGGCCCCAGTGTCTGTTGTACACTTCTTTGTGTCTTTATGTACTCTATGTTTAGCTCTCACTTGTAAGTGAGAACATGCAGTATTTGCTTTTCTTTTCCTGTGTTAGTTTGCTTAGGATAACGGCCTCCAGCTCCATTCATGTTGCTATAAAGAACGTGATCTCATTCTTTTTTTACGGCTGCAGAATATACCATGGTGTATACGTACCACATTTTCTTTATCCAGTCTGTTTATGGGCATTTAGGTTGATTCCATGTCTTTGCAATAGCAAATTGTACTACAATAAACATGCAAGTGCATGCGTCTTTATGGTGGAACAATTTATATTTCCTTGGTGTATTAGTCAAGTTTCTCCAGAGGGACAGAACCAATAGGATATATGTATATATAAAAGGAAGTTTATTAGGGAGAGTTATCTCACATGATTACAAAGTTCTACAATAGGCTGAATGCAACTGGGGAAGAAAGAAGCCGGTAGTGGCCCAGTCCAAGTCTGAAAGCCTCAAAACCAGGGAAGCTGGCAGTGCAGCCTTCAGTCTGCAGCCAAAGGCCTGAGAGCCCCTGGCAAGCTGCTGGTGCAAGCCTCAGAGGCCAAAGGCAGATGAACCTGGAGTCTGATGTCCAATGACAAGAGGAGCTGAAGCAAGCATCCACCAAGGGAAGAAGACAGCCAGTCACTGTGGCATGCATGCAGCCCCAGACATCTAAGAGCATCACAGACCTGTTACTGCTCAATCTGAAGTGGCTGAATGCCACTTTAGACAGGGTAATCCTGTCCATTACCCAGTTCCAAAGTTGCTTCCATATTTTCAGCTATCTTTATAGCAATGCCACACTCCTTATTATCAATTTTCTGTATTAGTCTGTTCTCACAGTGCTATAAAGAGATACCTGAGACTGGGTAATTTATAAAGAAAAGAGGTTTAATTGGCTCACGGTTCTGCATGCTGTACAGGAAGCATAGTGGATTCTGTTTCGGGGGAGACCTCAAAAAGCTTCCAATCATGGTGAAAGGCAAAGGGGAAGAAGGAGTCTTACATGGCAAGAGAAGGCATCTTACATTGCAGGAGCAAGTGATAGAGCAAGGGGTAAAGTGCTACACACTTTTAAACAACCAGATCTCATGAGAACTCACTCACTATCCAGAGGACAGCACCAAGGGGATGGTGCTAAACCACTCATGAAGAACACCTCCATGATCCAATCACCTCCCATCTACAGCACTGGGGATTACAATTTGATATGAAATCTGGTGGGGACACAGATCCAACCCATATCATTTGGGAATATACCCAATAGTGGGATGGCTGGGTTGAATAGTAATTCTGTTTCATGTTCTTTGAGAAATCAACAAACTGCTTTCCATAATGGCTGAACTAATTTGCATTCCCATCAACAGTATATGAGCATTCCCCTTTTCTCCACCACCTCACCAGTACCTTTATTTTTTAACTTTTTAATAATAGCTATTCTGTTTGATGTGAGATGCTATCTCATCATGGTGCTGATTTGTATTTCTCTTATGATTAATGATGTTGAGCATTTTTTCATATGCTTGTTGGTGGCATGTCGGTCTTCTTTTGAAAAGTGTTTGTTCATGTACTTTGCCCAATTTGTAATGGAGTTGTTTTTCGCTTGTAAATTTGCTTAAGTTCCTTATAGATTATGGACATTGGACCTTCATTGGATGCATAGTTTGGAAATGTTTTCTCCCATTCTGTAGGTTGTCTCTTTATTCTATTGATAGTTTCTTTTACTGTGCAGAAGCTCTTTAGTTTGATTAGGTCCTATTTCTCAATTTTTGCTTTTGTCTCAATTGCTTTTGGCATCTTCATCATGAAATCTTTGTCAGGCCCTATGTCCAGAATGGTATTTCCTAGGTTATCTTCCAGGGTTTTTATAGTTTTAGGTTTTACACTTAAGTATTCAATCCATCTTGAGTTGACTTTTGTATATGGTGCAAGGAAGGGGTCCAGTTCCTATCTTCTGCATATGCTTAGCCAGTTTTCCCAGCACCACTCATTGAATAGGGAATCCTCTCTCCATTGTTTGTTTCAGTTTATTTTGATGATGATCAAATGGTTTTTGGTGTATGGCACTATTTCTGGGCTCTCTATTGTGTTCCATAGGTTGATGTGTCTATCTTTGTACCAGTACCATGCTGTTTTGGTTACTGTAGCCTTGTAGTATAGTTTGAAGTTAAGTAATATGATGCTCCCAGTTTTGTTCTTTTTCTTAAGATTGCGTTGGCTATTCAGGCTGTTTTTCAGTTTCATACGAATTTTAAAGCACTTTTTTTCTACTTCTGTGAGGAATATCATTGGTAGTTTAATAGGAATAGCATTGAATCTATAAATTGGTTTGGTCACTATGGTCATTTTAATAATATTGATTCTTCCTATCCATGAGCATGAAATGTATTTTTTGTTTGTTTGTTTGTGTCATCTGTGATTTTGCTGAGCAGCGTTTTGTAATTCTCATTGTAGAGGTCCTTCACTTCCATGGTTAACTGTATTTATTATTTTTGTGGCTATTGTGAATGGGACTGCATTGTAGGTTTGGCTCTGAGATTCGATGTTGTTGTTGTATAGGAATGCTACTGATTTTTGTACATTGATTTCATATCCTGAAAATGTGCTGAAGATTTTTTATCAGATGAAGGAGCTTTTGGGCAGAGACTCTGGGGTTTTTTAGGTATAGAATCATATCATCTGCAAACAGGGATAGTTTGACCTCCTCTCTTTCATTTTGGACGCCTTTTATTTTTTTCTCTTGCCTTATTCTTCTGGCTAGGGCTTCCAGTGCTACAGGAGTAATGAGAGAGGGTATTCTTTTCTCAGTGTCGTTTTCAAGGGAAATGCTTCCAGCTTTTGCCCATTCAGTATGACGTTGGCTGAGTATGTTCCTTGAATGCCTAGTTTGTTGAGGATTTTTAACATGAAGGGATGTTGAATTTTTAACACAAAGGGATGTTTAATTTTTAACATGAAGGGATGTTGAATTTTATCAAATGCCTTCCCTGCATCTATTGAGATGATCATGTGGTTTTTGTTTTTAGTTCTATTTATCTGGTAAATAACATTTACTGATTTGCATATGTTGAACAAAGCCTGCTTAAGTAGATTGTGGTAGACTAGCTTTTCGATGCGCTGCTAGATTTGGTTTGCTAGTATTTTGTTGAGGATTTCCATCTATGTTCATGAAGGATATTGGCCTGAAATTCTCTTTTTCTGTTGTGTCTCTGCCAGGTTTTGGTAATAGGATAATTCTGAGCTCATAGAATGAGTTAGAGAAGAGTCCTCACCCCTCATTTTTTTGGAATAGTTTCAGTAGGAATGGAACCATCTCTTCTGTATAGAATTCAGCTGTGAATTAGTCTGATCCCGGGCTTTTTCTGGTTGGTAGGCTTTTTATTACTAAATCAAGTTCAGAACTCATTATTGGTCTGCTCAATTATTCAATTTCTTCCTGATTCAATCTTGAGAGGTTTTATATTTCCAGGAATTTGTACATTTCATTATATTCTAAATTCTTGCTTTGGGGCACCCCATTTTATAATTTGAAGGTGCCAAGATCTGATTTCTGAATAAATGAGGTGTAACTTTAATAACACCAGTTGTAACGTAACGGGTGTGAAAACTACCTTGTTCAATTTTGCATTGCTTAATTTTTTTATTTTTATTTTTTGTGGCTACATAGTAGGTGTATATATTTATGGGATACATGAGATATTTTGATACAGGCATGCAATGCATAAGAATTCTATTATGAAAAATTAGATATCTATCCCTTCAATGCATTGCATTTTTTAGCCAAAAAAAGATTTTAAAACAGAAATATTTGGAATCTATTTATGTCACATTTTCACAATGATAAAGAAATAGATTTTATCTAACATTTCGCTAAGCACAATGCCATACACGTAGTAGGCACTCAATGTTTGTTTTATTCATAGGACACATATGAACACTCTCATACGAACACACACATACAATTATTTTGTATTTTAAATTTGTGATACAAACAAGAGTTTTTTTCTGCAAATAAAAGCACTCAAACTTATGATTTATGAGTAAAGAAAAACTGTGCATAATAATGAAGGACGAAAAAATGCATTGATATCTGCTGAAAAAGCTACTACATACAGACTTACAAGTAATGTGCATAACCTATTTAAACAGACTGCCTAATGTCACGGACAAAAAAACAAATGAAATAAATTTTTAAAGTTTGATTCAATTAGATATAATACAGCTGGATGTGAAAGAGTGCCACAGTTGAAAACAATCTTACGCTTGTTAAAATGAACTAATGGTAGTAAAGAGAGTATACTCCAATCAGATGATGACTGGTAAATTTTAGAATGTAATGAATTCTCCTTTCAGTGGAATCAAGTGGAAAAACAATTATTAAAAAATTACTATGTATGTGATAATGATCCAGGACCAGAAATAATTCTTTATCATTTGTTCTTTTTAAGATAACAAAATTCTGTTCTTCATGGATGAAGTACAACTGGAAAAGTTCTATGGCATTTTGATTGATTTAATCTCTAGGTAATGAAAATGCTTATGAATTCAGTATCTAGTTCATATCTAAAAGCATATCTAATATTAGTATCTGCAAAAAGTCTATGCAAAGTTTGTCTGAATGAATATGTGGTAGTGACTTATTCACACATCCAGTTAATCCTTTTGGCATTTACAGCATTATAATTGTATTTATTAAAAAGAGGATAATAATGTTCATGTTTAATCTAGTGTAGTATCTAATGAGTGTCATTTCTAATATTTTTAAAATAATAGAATCCAATAAAATCTTAGAATTATAACATAGCTCTTTGATAACATCAGTACTACTTCTATTGTACATACGCTAATGGAATGTCAGATGTTAACGAATCCCTTTTTCATGTTGGATACATTGAACTGAATACCGACCAGCTAAATGATATTGATTAAAAAAAAAAAACCTATTTCCCCCATTTATTTATATACTCCTGTAAGATTTAGAAATGTTAGATATGGATCTACTATGTACAAAAAGAAACTGGAGTTTTATTGATTGTGGCTTCTTAAAGTCAATAGACAAAATCTAAAAAAGAGTATCTCAATTAGTTTTCCATGTAGCCACATTTAAATTTTTATTTGCAAGTTTTAAGTTAAGTTTCTCAATCATTTTAATTCTATTTACCAGGCATCCATACCTTTCTCTGCATCTTACCTCTTGGTTTTCATTCAGTCATGTCTTAACTCTTAAGAAAAACATCTAATTCTTCATCACGGAGCAAACACATGAGAATCCCAGAACCACCCATTGAAGCATGCATGGCCCGAGTCAAATCTGTTGAACATTCTATCCTGTTCACTACATAATAGGTTCATGTAATAATGTAATATGCAATACATAATAAAATATGTAATTTTTATTGAGTCAGTAAGTGGTGAATGAATGTGAAAGCCTAGGATATACAGTACACTCCTGTAGACTTTATAAACACTATACGTGCCAGCTTCACTAAATTTATACAAAATTTCTTTCTTCAATAATAAATTAGATTTTGCTTACTGAATGAATACCATTGTATACGTAGTCCATCACTGACCAAAACTTTGTTATGCAGTGCGTAACTGCATATATGTGTGAATGTGTCCGTGTGTATGTGTGTAATGTTGAAGAAGTAAGTGAATAGAGTCAAGGGACTAAAGCAGTACTAAGTATTTCCTATATGTAAGATGTTTTATATATTCTATGTTTTTAATCTTCAAAATACCTATGATAGGAACGTATTATTATCTCTTTTTTTTTTTTTTTTACAAGTAAGGGAACCTATGGGAAGTCCTAACCAGGCTACGTATCCACTTAACATTTGAACCAGCAGCCCAACTGGGGTATCTACTTTAAAGATGTACCTATAAGAACATGAAAACACATACACAGAAGGTTACTCATTGAAATTTTTTATAATAGCAAAATATTGGGAAAAATACTGAATGATCATACAGAGAAAATAACTGAATAAACTATGGCACATATACACAAATGAGTGTGAGGAGCCTATAAAATGAATACAGAATTTTGGTGATCCCTATGAACTGATATAGACTTATTTCCAGTATGTATTGGAAAGTGAAAAATGTCAAAGTGCAAAAGGTACCTATGGTAGGTATAGTACCTATAGTAGGCTACCATTCATGTAAGAATAAGGATATATATATATATATATATATATATATATATATATAGAGAGAGAGAGAGAGAGAGAGAGAGAGAGAGAGAGAGAGAGAGAGAGAGAGTACATACAATATACACTCAAAAATATTTTGGAAAGGAAAAGCCAGAATCTAACAAGATTGGTTACTAATAAGAGGTGAGTGGGAATAACGCAATAAGAATGGGGGCAGAGAACTGAGTACTAAGTATAGGGGGGTGACAATTTTCTCATAGAACATTTTCATATAGCTCTGATTTTGAAACTATGTTAAAGATTCACATACTCCCCAAGTAAATAAAAATTAAATTTCGAAATAATTAAAATAAAAAATATGGGAACCAAAAATACAATAAAAAGCAGTAATAAATAAACCAAACTATATTATGAATGAAAATTGTAACTACGCTAAAGAAAAAGGAGAAAAAAGAATTAACACAAATAAGTTTGAAAAACAGTAAATGTATCCTGTAAGGCAAAGCAAAATGAAAACAAAATAAAACAAAAACTGTACACAAATACTCTAGTTAGAAAATTTGCTTTCACAGGAGTGTGAATTAAAACTCTGAAGCTATTTTATCCTTATTTTATAAATGAGCAAATAAAGAAATACACTGTGGACCAGAGTCAGGTTTCTCCCCATTAGAGAAAATAGTTACAAATAAGAAAGAAAGAAAACTAGAATGAACACTTGGTGCTTTATTGCAATTGTAAGAGTCAGTATGAAGTCATGGATATTATTATGTATAGGAAACAATAGGTTTAGAAATAGAGATATTTGCGTGAGGATACACACACACACACACACACACACACACACACACACACACAATTTCTTAGCTCTCTCTGATGAAAGCTTTAGAAGCAATGACATCCCAGCAGCAGTAAATTGACAAACGTGGTACCTAGATCTTAGCTTGTAAATACTACTTTCCAAGTAAAAGAACTAGAGATCCTTGGATAAGCAGTTGATACCAGGATTGGGGTGGGGAAAAGATAACACGAACCAAGTTGATTTTGTGGTGCCAGAAAGTAACAAAGGGCTCAAAAATGATGGAGGTGTGATGAAAGGTACACAAGGGCCAACTTGTTGGAGCCACTAACAGCCAAATCTGGGAATAAATATCCATGACTCCATATTGACATAAATAAATAATTGTGTAAATAAATAAACAGAGATGGGGGAAAGGGCAGCTCTTCCTTACAGTAGAATTCCAGACAATAAATGTAAAAGGCATGACAGCAACAGAAAACGATAACTATTTAAACACCACAATAATAATTGTTACAGGCAGGAATCATGATAACGAAAATAAATGGGTAAAAGTATGAGAAATGTGATATTTACATAGTCTCATAGTATCTTCATAAATCATTAATGACAAAAGGGAAAATTGTAACTTCACAGAGAAAGAGACAAACAAACAAACAAACAAACCTTGGCCAATGCAAGCTTAACTAAGAGACTGAAGTTACTACCACCAGTAATAGTATATATTGACATCACATAGCTCCAGAAATGATATACTGGAAAGAGCATGACATTACTTCTGTTGTATTTGTGCCAAAAATGCTTAATCATAATCTTCTCATTTGGAGTAGTAGACTGGGGAGATGTTGGTAAAAGGACACATTTCAGTTAGACAGGAGAAATAACTTCAAGAGATCTATCATATATCATGGTGACTGCATTTAATAACAATGTATTGTCTACTTTAAAATTGCTAAGACAGTAGAATTTCAGTGTTCTTACCAAAAGAATATGATAAGTATATGAGATAATGCATATGTTAATAAGCTTGATTTAGCCATTTCACAATGCATACATATATTAAAACATCATGTCGTACACCATTGACATTATTTTGCCAATTAAAATAATAAATACATTTTTTAAAAAGAAAAAGGAATTCATAATTGTTAGCTGAAAACTATTTCGAATTTCACATTACGTAAACTGTCCTATGCAGGAGGGGCGATATTGGTATTTATTTCAAAACTATCAAATTATTTTCACTTTTTTAAAATAGATGGCATCTTGCTGTGTTTGTCAGGCTGGTCTTGAACTCTTGGCCTCAAACAATCCTCCCGCCTCAGCCTCCCCAAGTGCTAGGATTACAAGCGTAAGCCACTGTGCCTGCCCCACAACTATCAAATTTTTAATGCAAACTTTTACAAAGTCCTTGAAAACTTATTAGGAGGTTTTGGATTTTACTTGCTGATTTATCCCAATTTTGATATGAAATGCTAATATGACCTCCAAATCCTATTCAAAAAATCTTCCTGCTAAAGGTATTTCTTGAAGTAATATTTTGCCTCATAGCAAGAAGTAAAATAAGTCACACTTATATAACAACTTTCCTCCAGATACCTCAAAAAGTCTCCACAATTATTTTATATTTCTGAAATTTTGCTTATAAAAATAACATCTGGCCGGGCCTGGTGGCTCACGCCTGTAATCCCAGCACTTTGGGAGGCTGAGGCGGGTGGATCACGAGGTCAAGAGATTGAGACCATCCTGGCTAACACGGTGAAACCCCGTCTCTACTAAAAATACAAAAAATTAGCCAGGCGTAGTGGCGGGCGCCTGTAGTCCCAGCTACTCGGGAGGCTGAGGCAGGAGAATGGCGTGAACCCGGGAGGTGGAGCTTGCAGTGAGCTGAGATGGCGCCACTGCATTCCAGCCTGGGTGACAGAGCGAGACTCCGTCTCAAAACAAAAAACAAAAAACAAAAAAAAAACACATCTGCCTGAATGCTTTTTCCTAACACACATTTCCTAACTTACATTGTCTTCTCATTTAACTTAGTTACCATCACTTTGACTAGTATGCACCGCTTCACCTAATTCTCTTCTCTGTCATCTTTCACAATGTAAAACTTATTTCTCCTCCCTGTAATGTCTTCTCTCAGCCATATACTGAACCATTCTCCTGTGTAGCATGGCTTGCTAGAAACAAATTATTATTTTAGAAATCAGAAATCTACTTTCTTCTGTTCAGATGTGTTCCACTTATCCTGGAACTGCTGTCGATACTTGGAAAAGGACAACTATAAATGCAATTCATAGACCCTTTCAGGACTATGTATTCGTTTTATGTAGATTTGTCATTTTCCCATATGCTACATTAGATGTAAGTTTATAAACCCAAACAATTTTGGAAATTGATGTTTGTGTTAGAACAAACAGTTGGCTATAAATGTGGCATATCATAGCACCCACACTGCTGGGATCAAATCCTGCCCCTGCCACTTAATAGCTGTGTGGACTTGGGAAAGTTAGGTAAACATTACATGCTTCATTTGCCTCACTAATAAAATGAAGAAAATAACAGTACTTAACCTTGTATATTATTTTGAGTTAAAACAACAGTACTTAACCTTGTGTATTATTTTGAGTTAATACTTAAACAAAGTAACACATAATAAAAGGTATATGTGCTTGAAAAATGAATAAGGTCCACCACCCACCAAAAGTGGAGTAACTTGCAACATATCAATCCTGCCATACATAACTATAAAATCCAGACAAAAGTAAAACAAACAAATATAAACAAAACAAAATGAAACCGACAAAAGCACTAATTACAGGTACAAGGGAATAATCAAAAGCAGGCACAAACTCAGAAACTGGGGGGGTTTACGCTGGATAGAATCTAATTGTAAACAGTATTTTTTTTTCTAATAGGAGACACTCCAGTTCAAGGACAGCAAGGAGTGACTACAGATCAAAAAGAAAGCTAGAAGCAAGCAAGCAAGGAAGAAATGAGGAAAAAAGGCAAGCAAGTAGGCTTCATCAGGACTGCAAGAGCATCTAGAAAGTGATGGGGAAAATCAGGAAAAGAAGGGGAACACAGAATGGGGAACACCAAAAATGCACAGAAGCCTAGAAGCAAGCAAGAAATATAAGGTCGAAAGAACTGAGCTACTACCCACCACAAAGAAAACATATTTAACAACCTGTTAAAAGTAAAAATCAACACTCTTCAGTGGAAGAAAAAATTAGTAGTATCTACAATGTAATACCCACAAGACAAGGAAAAAAATGGGAAAACGTGACCTGTAATAAGGATTGAAAGCACTTAATAGACACAGGTTCTGAAATAACTCAGCTGTTTGAGTAAGCAGACTAGGACTTGAATATAATTATCATAAATGTGTTGAGATATTTTAAGAAAAAATGGGGAAAACGAATGAATGAATAGACAGAGAATCTCAACAGAGAAATTGAAACTATAAGAATGGAAATTCTAGAGCTAAAATTACATCATTTAAAAAAAATCTCTGCATATAACTTGAATAAGTTTGGAGTACATTAGTTAAGCAACATAAGTCAATCAGAGAAAGATAAATACCACATCATGTCACTCACATGGGGGAACTGAAAAAAAAAAATGAGCCCATGGAAGTAAATAGTTGAATTGTCGGTATTAGAGGCTGAGAAAGGTAGAGGGGAAGGGAGGATAGGGAGAGGTTGGTTAATTGATACAAATTTACAGCTAGACAGAAGGAATGAATTCTAGTGTTCTGCAGCACTGTTAAGGCAAATAAGGTAACTAATTTATTGTATATTTCCAAAAAGCTAGAAGAGAGGATTTTGAATGATCACAACATAAAGAAATAATAAATGTTTGAAGTGACAGATACTTTAAATACTCTGATTTGATCCCTACACATTGCATACACATATCAAAATACCACCTTGTATCCCATAAATATGTAAAATTTTAAATGCCAACTAAAACACGAGGAAAAATCTATGCATAGGATTAACAAGAAAAAGGAAAGGACAAAATAAAGCATCAGTGAATTTAAGGATAAATCAGCAAAAAGAATAAAATCTGAAGTAAATGAAGGATAAATATTGAAAATAAATGAGCATTGCTTTAGTGATATTTGGGAAAATATCAAACAGTTTAATATAAACACAATTGCATTTCTCAAAGGAGAAAAGAAAGAGAATGGGACAGAGAAATATTTGAAGAATTAATGGCTGATAATTTGCAAATTTTGTGAAAAACTGACTTACAAATCCTAGAGTCTCATCAAAACCCAAGAGGGATAAATATGATCAGACTTAGGTACAGCATGGCCAAGTGATAACAAGAAAAAAAGACAAAATCCTTATGGTAGCCATGAAAAGCAAACACACTGCATTCAAATGAACACAGAGTTATAGAATATTTGACTTATCATCAGAAACAACAGAGGCCATATATCAAAGGCACTGCATATTTAAAGTGCTGAAAGTCTTTTTTTCCTATACCCCATGATAATATCCTTCGAAATATATATTTTCAGATAAATGAAAGCTAAATGAATTGTTGCCAGCAGAACTGTAATATAACAATTTCAACAAAAAGTCCTTTAGACTATAAGGAAATGATACTAGGTACAAGTGGAATATACAGGACAAATAAAGAGCACTACAAATGATATACACATAAATATACAAAAGTATTTAGATTTTTTATTTTCTTAAGTTAATTTAAAAATGTACACAGTCAGCCCTCCGTATTCATGGTTTCCACATCTGTAGATTCTGCCAACTTCAGCTGCAAAATATTTCAGAAAGAAATTGCATTTATATTGAACATGTACAGCCTTTTTTCTTGTCATTATTTCCTAAACACTGTATAACAATTATCTGCATAGTACTTACATTGTAATAGTTATTACTGTAACTAATCTAGAGATTTATAGCATACAAAAATGTTATATGTAAATACTATGTTATATGTAAATACTATGCCACTTTAATATTAATATTAGAGACTTGAGATTCTAGGCAGTTTTGTATCCACAAGAGGTCCTGAAAACAATCCTCCATTGATACCAAAGGACGATTATAATTATTTGCAGGGGAAAACACAATATTGAGGGGTTTATAATATATATATATGTGTATATATATATGGATATAATATATACTGTAATAGCATATATACTAGATGGGGCATAATGGTTCTTAAATTTTATGTTATGTGGTAGACTATTAACTCTGAGAAACTATGTAACACAAGTTTGAATATTTCAGTCTATAGCAAACTACAATAAAGTAAGAGTACAAAGGGAATATTGCTAAAAGGCCAATAAATGAATCCCAAAGGGATTAGGAAAACATAAAAATAATCATAAGGAAGGCAGTTGAGTGGGAATGGAAGAACAAAAGTTGTTGGGATAGAAACTCAATAGCAAACAATAAATATAAATAAAAATATATTAAGAAGAGGAGTAACAGAAGAAACAATGTTAGATCAAAGAGTCATTTCATCAGAAAAACATAAAAATGACAAATGTGAATATGCTTAATAACAGAGCTTCAAAATGTATTGTAATGGTTTGAATTGCCTCCTTCCCAAAAGATTTGTTGAAGTCTTAATCTCAAGTACTTCAGAATGTGACCTTATTTGGAAATGGGGTCATTGCATATATAATTAGTTAATATTAGGTCATATTGGAGTAGGATAGTCCCTTAATCCAGTGTGACTGGTGTCTTTATAAGAATACAGCCATGTGAAGATACAGAGACAAACGAGGAACACCATGTGAAGATGGAGGCAGAGATTTGAGAGATGTGTCTACAAACTAGGGAGTACCAATGATTGCTGGCCATCACCAAATGCTAGGAGAGAAGTCTGGAACAATGTTTTCCTTAGATCTATCACAAAGAAGCAATACTGCTGATACTTTGATTTTTGACTTCTGGCATCCAGAACTATGAGACAATAACATTCTGTTTTAAGCCACCCAGTTTGTGGTGCTTTATTATGGCAGCACTCAGAAAGATACATGAAGAAAAAAGTAATGGAGTCAAAAAGAGAGGCAGACAAATCCATTATAAAATTTAGAGTTTTATATGACTTGTTCAGTGATTGACAAAAAAATAGTGAGAATATAGAAGAGGCATATACTATAAACCAACTTGACCATAATGCCATTCTGCTCAATAATGCTCAATAATTTTAGATTACACATTCTTTCAAGGTTCACATGGCATGTTCTACAAATTTAAAAATATTTAAATGTTATAGATTATGATTCATAGCCAAAAGGTAATGTAATTCAAACTAATAAGAAAAAGATAAATATAAAAGGTCAAAATTTAGAAATCAATCAAGACACTTTAAAATTACCATGTGTCAAAAAAAAATCATAATAGAAATAAAATATTTCAAGCTGAGTGATAATAAAATACAACATACCTCCTTTTGTATGTGATACAACTAAAGCAGAGATTACAGGGAAATTTGTAGCATTAAAAACTCATATTGAAAACAAAGAGATTATTAAAACTAGTGAGTTAATTTTCATTTAAGAAACTAGAAATGGGAAAACAAGCCTAAAACCAGAGAAAAGAGGAAACAATTTAAAAGTAGAAAAAATGATATAGAACACATGCAAAAATAGAGAAAATTTAACAAAACCAGAAGTTGGTTCTCTAAATATATAACCAATTTGTTAAATTGCTAGCAAGAATAATCAAAAGAAAGATGTTATAATTGGAAAATAAAGAAAGGTTATCACTACATATCCTACAGACATTAAAAGATAATTAATGGGATTTTTTTTACATTTTTAAGAGAATCATTTAAAAAAACAATCATGACAAGAAATTTGGTAACTCAGATAAAAAAAGACACATTTGTAAAAACCAAAATTTATCAAAGGTTACATAATTATTGAGAAAATATGGATAATCCTATATTTATTAAAGAAATTGAATATCTTGTTAAAAACCAAAGAAATCTACTGCAAATGGTTTAAGTGCAGGATTCTATGAATCACTTAAAAAGAAACTAATACCATTATTTGAAAACTATTTAAAATATTGAGACTGCAAGGAGACTTACTCACTTGCTTTATTTGGTCAGGAATACCTTGTAACAAAACCTGACAAAAATGCTATTACAATAAAAACTGTACATCAGTATTGTTCATGAACCTAAAATAAAAACTCTTAAAATAAGGAAATTAAATATAATATTATATGCCTTATGATGAACTGATATTTATCACAGGAAGGCAAGGTGTGTTTAACATTTAAAAATCAAGAATATATATCTCCATATTAGCAAAATAAAGCAGAAAACATTTGATCATTGAAGAGATACAGTAAAAAGCACTGGAAAATTCAGACCCGTTTATAATAAAAACTTGAAGAAAACTAGGAATAGAACACTCTAACTCTGATAGGAGGCATCTAAATATTATCTAAAATTATAGTGAATGATGAAATATTGAAAAAGTTTTCCCTAAGGTAAAAAAGAGAAAGAGTGTTCAGTGTAAACACTTCTATTGAACACTCTTCTGGAGGTTCAAGCCAGCACACTAATGAAAATAAATAAATATCTAAAGGTTGAATAAGAAGATGTAAAACTGAATCTATTAATAATATAATTATCTACATACAATATCCTTAGCAATCTACAAAGCAATGACTATAACTAAGTGAACTTAGCTTAGTCATAGTTTACTAGGTCAATATATAAAAATAAATTGTATTTTTTTATATCAGAGTGATAGCTCCAAATGGACTGCTATACTGCTTACTTACTGTTTCCAATACAAAAGCATTGCTAAAAATATTAAAGAAGATTTCATTATATGAAGTGATATATCCTTTTTAAAGATGGGAAAACTTATATTTGCAAGATGTCAATTCATCCCAAAGTGATATCAGTAACCCAATTCAATGACAATATGTGGTTTTATTTTTTTTAAAAAAAGGACGAACTGATGATGTTCAATTAATAGAAGAGAAAAACAAATATGCTTCCCCACAAAAATATGTTCTTTATTGCATAATTTCATTGATCTAATGTAATATAATATTTATATTTCTAAATGCAGTTTTAAAAAACAAATACATATCATATACAATTGATATTTTTCCCAATATTTTGTTGACTACCTGAGTAAGTTTGCATGCTGCATTAATGGTGAAAACATTAAACAGTTCCGTCTCCTAAAGGGAAAACTTTATAGAAAGTTTTCTTAAAGATGAGTAATTTGCAGCCCTGAGAGATATGTGTAACTAATATACTAATATTAAAAGAGCTTACATTGCCAAATAAGAGAACCGTAAAGGCTTAATAGGGATGCTCATTAGAAGGCTCCAAATTTATAACCACACAACTAAGCATGGATTTACATGTCTCATCAGATTTCTTCATGACTTGACATTCAGCCATTTCTAAAAAAACTAATCATCTTACCTGAGAGTATATCTTAAGAAAGGGGAAGTTAAATTTATCTAAAATCTTTTAATATTCTTACTAGACAAAAGCCTTCCAAAATGAATCAAGTCATTAATCAGTGTTCACTTCCTGTAGAACACAGGTCTCCTAACAACCATGTGACTAGATCATCCCATTTAATGATACAATTTATAATGTGACTTTTTTTTTTTTTTTTGCCTTCTTGGGTTTTTACAAATGCTGAATTGATAACTCCGTCAAATGAAGCTAGATAATCTCTTGTCACTGCCACATTTTCTGTTTGTCCTGTTCATCTCAACTTTCTACATTATGTGTGCACTGATGTCTGTAATTTGCACCAAAACTTCCTTTTGAGCATCATTAACACTCCGTTCTTCATAGCAAGACCTTTAAGGTATAACTCAGCAAATAACTGATTCTATTCTCCATGTTACCCTTATCCAGTCTATCGCATTGAAGGAAATACATATCTTTCAGATCTTAGTGGTCAGATATTTAAATACCTTGAATGTTTTGCTGCTCTATCAGACACTTAAGACTGTGAACTGAAGTGATGATATATAAACAGTGTTAATGTCACATCTCTTTTGTACTGAATTTTATCCTTCTTGTTTCCTACCTTCCAGTCAACTATTTTTGGCCAATGACAGTTTTAAATGCCATTGGATTAAACTTCTTTTTAATCTGTCACACCAAGAAAATGTGAATGTCTGCACCATAGGATGCTTCTAACATGTTTAACACTAACCTCTTTGCTCCACTTCTCTGAAGGAGTTTAGGCTGATTCTGCAAAATATATCTCACTGATAACATTTTGCTTGTAGGATGCCTCCTTGTTTTAATACTCCAGATTAATAGAATGTGTTTTTTATCTTCTACAATATTTCTAACTGGTGTTTATATAGAATGTTTTCCTCTACAAATAAATGTATTTGAAAAAAAAACCAGAAAGTCTTGAATTATACTCCCAATTCAATTGGTTCATTACCAAAATCATGAATAAATGAATAAACTTTTTTATTTTTACATCTTATAGATACATAATAGCTATATATATTTATGTAAGGTATGTGATATTTTGATTCAAGCATAAAAGGTGTAATAATCAAATCTGGGTAATTTTGGCACCCATCACCTCAAACATTTATCATTTCTTTGTCTTGGGAACATTCTAAATCTACTCTTCTAGTATTTTAAAATACATAATAAATTGCTAACTGTAGTCACCCCATTGTACTACTTGCTATCTATATTTTCGTGCCCATTAACCAACCCTTTTATTGCTCCCTCCCCACTACCCTTCCTAGAACCATTTTGAAATGCATACCAAATATCAACAAGGGCAAGGTCCTATCTGTTTTGTTCAACATCCCTAGATCATCAGTACCCAACTCAAAGTATGCACCCAGAATTGTTTCAAATTAATTAATCAGTTTAAAAGTAGTTATTAGGCTCAAAAAACTTTCACGTCCTCTTCACCCTGAAAAAGTAAATTCTTCCCATTTTGCTTATACTATAGGTTGATTATCTTGGCATTCCAACCTAGATACTCCTTTCATTTTAAGATGGCATTGCCCTTAGTACTACTGCATTGTAGGTCTCAAACTAATCTGTGAATCAACTTGCTGTTATCTGCATGAATTAATACTATAATTCAATTAACAGAGTTAGCGTACTCAGAATAAAATCTTAAATGAGGAAAATGTCCAAAAAAGGAACTGAAAATTTTATGAACGTGGTTCTCTGCAGTTAAGTACTTCATTCAGTACCATCAATATTGCTGCTTGGAACCATGTCTTCTAAGTCTCTCTGTCTCTTTTGAAAATTTCTCAATAATCGTTGAGAATCTCAGTATTCCATTTTGTGAACATTGCTCTTAATCTCTGGCATACCAAAACAGAGACTGAAACAATAAAGACCTAGATTATTAAAATAAATACTATGTAATTTAAAAAACGTATTTCAAATTTTATCATCTACTTCCATGTTGAAAGAAGTATGTTGTAATGTGAATGTGCAGTAAGCACTCACCCACAGCATCCTCTAGAACTCAAAACAAAATCAGCATTAGGTCTCATGATTTATTTTGTAAAAAATGATCAAGGCATCTCACTTTATCCCAGTCTTGCCTTGTGCCTCCATTTCTATTTCTCAATTTCACTCAATTCAAAATTCTTAGTTTTATTTCTGCTACTTGCTTGTTTGCAGCCACATAGGCGGATGACTAATTCAGCTCTTCTTGTTTTGACTCTCAATGCTTACTTGAACTTAGTACCTGGATCTTTCTCTCTTCAGCCACTAATCCTGGCAACCACTATGCTAAGAGAAGCTTGAGTCCCTAGTGGAGAGAGAACACGAACACACACACACACACACACACACACACACACACACACACACACTATACAATTTAAATTTTCTCTTTTAGGGCCGGGCACAGTGGCTCACGCCTGTAATCCCAGCACTTCGGGAGGCCGAGGCGGGCGGATCACAAGGTCAGGAGATCGAGACCATCCTGGCTAACATGGTGAAACCCCGTCTCTACTAAAAATACAAAAAATTAGCCAGGCGTGGTGGCGGGCGCCTGTAGTCCCAGCTACTCAGGAGGCTGAGGCAGGAGAATGGCATGAACCCGGGAGGCGGAGCTTGCAGTGAGCCGAGATCTCGCCACTGCACTCCAGCTTGGGCAACAGAGTGAGATTCCGTCAAAAAAAAAAAATTCTCCTTTATATAGCTACAGAGTTCTTTTTCAAAACAAATTATTATGCATAATTATAATACCTAAAAAATAAATAGTAAACTCAAAATGGTAATCTCTGTCAGTTCAGGTCCTCCCAGAAGCAGACACCTAGATAGATACAGAAGTACAAGAAATGTATTGAGGTAAATGCCTATGAAAGAATAATCTGCAAGGAACCAGGATAGAAAGGGAGAGACATAGACCATGAAGCATGTCTGACACCAATGAAGGGAGAGGGAGATGAAGATAGGTAAGAAAAGCCCTAGACTATATTTCATAGCTTCATGTTGTCCATTAATGAGGTCATATATTGGTCATGCTTCATTAACCTTGCTATGCTCAATCACTGACTAGGAGCAGTCATTGCTGCTCCTAGTCACTGACCAGGAACTTGCCACTAATGTAAATATTGCAGTGAATTCCAAAGGTTGCACCCGGAGGCTCTCAGTTAACCACTCCCTGCAGCTGTCACATATTTTAATGTTGAACTACTTATCAAATATTTTGGAAACCTAACAAATGAGGTTCTAGTCACTAGGGAAACAACAATGAACAAAAAAAGGTCTACAATTTTCTATACCCTCATTGAACTTTATTGTGAGATGACTAGATATTTAAAAACTGAAGGAGCGTATTTATAATATGACAAGTGATACAAAAAAGCATGAATCAGGTTAACAGAAATAAGGATATGATTTATCATTCTACATAGAATATTGAGGAAACCCATTTGTGATAAGGCTACATTTCAGCACTGACCTAAAAGTCTCTATGGTCAGTCACAGAAATATCTGAAGGAAGATCATTACTGGGAGTGGGGACAATTGCAAAGGCCCTGAGGCAACAATATGCAGAGTGAATTGAAGGATCAGAAAGGAAAACTCTGTGGCTGGATCCTGGTGAATGAATAAGGAAAAAAAATGTTAGATGAAGCACAGAGGTTGGGGAAGTTGGGGATGCAGATAATATAGAGCTTTATGTACGATAGTAAGAATGCTAGATTTTGCTCTGAGACAAGAAGACACTGAAAAATTTTGTGTAGAACAGTGGTATGATCAGAGTATGTTTTAAAATATCAGTGAAGAGGGGAGTAGATTGTGAAAAGTCAAGGTTAGAAAAGGAGTAACAGTTTTATCCAAAAGGGATAAGATGATATAAGACGGATAGATACCTTCAGCTAATATGGTAGCATTGATGATGGTGTCAATAACTGGTTGGATTTTTTTTTTTAATTTTGAAAGTAAAATCAACAGTTTGCTGATGGATGTGACAGGAGTTACGGGGAAAGAGAATAGTTAAGAAAACATCTAATATTCTGACTTGAGCAACGAGTAGATTAGAAATACACCAGTTTCTCCCACAGTCTTCCTCTGAGAATGACAAAGATTGTGCGAGGAACAGGTTTTAGTATTCAAAATCAATTAACTTTGAAATGTTAAATGTTTATTTACTTTATCACTTAATGAATAATATTTACTTGATATAAAGCCAAAAATGACAGCAAGAAGGCTGTTCTCATAAAGATAGATATTTTAAATAGACCTCTTTAGTTAATATTTTAGTATGATATTGGCCTCCTCATCAAATTTATTTTTGTATTTTTTCTACTTATACATAATCAAGAAAGTCTCAAATTACACAAATAAGTAGTTTTGTTTTTATCTCTACAAGTTTCAAGATGGAGATTTATCAAGGCCTAAACCTAAGAAAAGGAAATGGTGGATGCCATTTTCCTTGTCAACGGACATATTTTTAAGAAGTTTAATCTTATTATAGAGCACTGTTGTCCAATAGAACTTTATGTGATAATGATGGAAATATTCTATATCTGTGCTTTCCAGTATAGTAGCCATAAATATATGTGACTATAGCACTTGAAATGAGGCCAGTGCAACTGAAGAAGAACATTTTTAATTATGTTTAACTTTATTTTAAATTGCAAAAGTGAATGTGGCTAGCAGCTACCTATAGAAAAGCACTGGTGTAGAGAAACCAGAGGGTTATATATTTGAAAATAACAAAAGTTTCCTTAGTGATAAAGATAAATATTGGTGGTCTCCAGGCTGTTGAAATTAGAAAACAAAAGCTTTTAATGATGTGCTTGTAATTATAGTTTAAATTGCTTAAATACAGTTTAAAATTAATTTAAATTTTTTTAAGAACACACATGAAAGCCTCCCACTCCACGTTGGGGGCAGGAGCTAAAAGTAACACATTTAAAAAATTGAGTCATCTAAACTAAGTTTTAACATTTGCTTACCAATTCTGAAATGAAAATATGACTTGAATTTTCTTTGAGGTTCAAAAAAGATCTTCTCTTTAATTTTTCATTAAAAATATGCCAGGAAAATCATCCAAAGATATTTTATCTACCTATGCAATGTGGATAACAGATGCACTGATTGTTTATTGCCAGATTTGTAGCATTTACACTTTCTTGACATATTAAAATTGTAAGTCATTGAGTCAGGGAGTATCTGTTAATATTTACCCTTTATGATATGTATTCCAACTCATGATCATAATAGAGCAAGCATGGCTTAATGCTGAAATGGCACAATTATTGTGGTCAGTCTTTAGTGAAAAATGTAGGTCTTGGTTTATATATCATATCATATCATATCATATCATATCATATCATATCATAAATCTGAAGTGGGATAGTGAGCTCTGAGTCATTTCTAGGGATCTTACAATATTCCACTGAAATTTTAATTTTAAGGACCATATAGCTTGCTGGTCACTAGATTGTGATGTCCTTCAATACAGAACATGTACTTTGTCTCCTTTATTCTAGTACTTACCACAGAATTTTGCCTCCTTGAAGTTTAACGAAAATATTAACTCTTTAAATGTCACCTAATTTTATTGTAAATGAGCTAGCACTTATTTTTTATTTGCAATCATTTCATTTCCTGCCAGTTTGTTAACCCCTATTAGTTTATTTATATTATTTCTCTCTTCAGCAGTTGTTTGCACATTTTCTTAATTTCCATTCACTTCAAAGTTTAATTAAATGATACTATTATTTTCCAGATTGTTAACGAAAATATTAAATAAGATCAAGATAGCATTTCATCAGGACACCTACAAACAGACCCTTCAAAGGGAGCAGCTAATAGTTAGCAGTAATATGTTTATTTAGGTCATTCTGTTAGTTTCCATTTCAAGTTACCTTTGGCATATCTGGAGAAGACTTTTCATTTTAGACCAAGTTATTGATCTAATTATCATGTTAACATATGACTCTAAGCATTTATTTTAATGTCATAACCTGGCAATTTTTAACGACTATTGTCAGGGATCATAAAAGCACCCTGATTATGTTTGTCAAGTTGGTTACTATCAATTTTGGCAAAGTTCAGGGTAGGAAATAGATCCTGTAAGGAATAATTAAGGGAAAATATGACAGAATACGTAAAATAGCCAAGAAGTAAGCATTGCATAAATAATTTATGAAGAATACTGTACAGTTTTTTTGTTGTTGTTGTTTTGCCAAAGTGATAGTAAAACAGGAGAATGGCCTGAACCTACAGCTGTAAGAATTTAGGTTAGATATATAGTTTGCTTGTAAAAGTATTGTTAAAGAGAGTGAAATGGTTTAGTTAGGGGGGTTCTGGGGTGAGGGAGGGAGGGAGGGGGAGACAGGGATTGTGGAGATAAGTACATTAAGTAATAGAAGTATGAATGCAGAGAGGAGATATAAGCTCCATAAAGAGACAATAAACATGAGGGAAAACACATTGGGAATAAGAAAGGAGAAAAAATATGGACTTGAGTATAGTTTCGGTTCATAAAGATTAGTAGGCTGCTTTAAGCAACCCAACTCCTACATGAATGTGGAAGAGTCCAAGAAAAAAAATAAGAATGCAGAAAATGTTTCTGGAGGTTATTTAGTCAATAATACTTTGTTGTGTGTTTATTTTTATGTTTTGCTATGTGTCAATAATAAATGCTTGTATATTTATGAACCAGAATAGAGAGAAATATAAGTTAGGACATTCATGTAATATTTTTTGCTTAAAAGTATAATGAAATAAAAGGTAGATATATTAGCTGTCTATAACTTAACTAAAAAAACTTGATTTTTGTGAAAACAAAAAACATAGTATGAAACATTTTAGGATTAGTGTAGAAACAAACAACAAATTATCCACCTCACCAACTAACTAACAACAACAACAACAACAAAAAACCAGAAATCATAAAACATGAAATAAGTGAAGGTTTGTGGTAAGATATTATGATCACAGATAGGGTTATTTCAATTGTGTTTAGAAAATAGAAGTAAAGCAGGATTTGGAGAGAGAGAGGGTTTAATGTTACTAGAAAACTGAGATAAGAAAAAAGGAAAGTTAAAGCCCACAGTTCTTATGTGCTTCCTTCTTCTCTATCACAGAAAACAGAAGATACTAGTAAGAGGATTCTGACTTCCAAAACAATCAAGGTGATTGTGTAGATATGTCTAAAAGCTACCCATATTTTTTAATGCACTAAAGTACAGCTTAATAAGCTTGACATTAACCTAAAATATAAACATATGTGGTAGATTATTAAACATATTATTAATATTTAAAACTGTAGGAAGTCATATGTAGGGTGTAAGACACATTTAATAAGAACAATCAAAAGTACTGGAAGAAAACAAGACTGTGCCTGGTAATCCAGAAAATTCTCCTGGATCATATCCAAGACCATCAGGGTGATACCTCCACAAGTCAACTAGAACCACAGCATTACTGAAATGAAAGTGTCCCCTAAAGCAGTTACAGCACAGATAATAACAAGTAAGTCCTTTCAAACATAGGGAAAGCCCCTCTAAGAAGGATGGATACCAACAAGCACAGACAGGGAAGACTGTAATAAATAACTAACTCTTCAATGTCCAGACACCGAAGAAAATCTACTAGCATCAACACCATCCAGGAAAAGTTAACGTTACCAAATGAACTAAATAAGGTACCAAGGACCAATCCTGGAGAAATAGGGATCTGTGACCTTTCAGAAAAAGAATTCAAAAATAGCTGTGTTGAGGACACTCCAAGACATTCAAGATAACACAGATAAAGAATGCAAAATTCTATCATATACATTTAACAAAGAGATTGAAATAGTTACAAAGAATCAAGCTGAAATTCTGGAGCTGAAAATGCAATTGGCATACTGAAGAATGCATCAGAGTCCTTTACTATCAGAATTGATGAATCAGAAGAAAGAATCAGTGAGCTTGAATACAAGATACTTCAAAATACACAGTAAACAGAGACAAAAGTAAAAAGAATAAAAATCTATAAAGCACACCTACAGGACCTAGAAGATAGCCTCGAAAGCCAAATCTAAGAGTTACTGGACTTAAAGAAGTAAAGAAAAAGATAGGGGCAGAAAGTTTATTCAAAGGGATAATAACAGAGAACTTCCCAAATCTAAAGATATCAATATCCAAGTACGAGAAGGTAATAGAACACCAAGCAGGTTTAACCTAGAAAAGACTACCTCAGGGCATTTAATCGTCAATCTTCCAAAGGTCCAGGGTAAAGAAAGGATCCTAAAAGCAGCAAGAGAAAAAGAACAAATATCATACAATAAATCTTCAATACATCTGCCAGCAGACTTTTCAGTGGAACCCTTATAGCCATGAGAGAGTGGCATAGCCTATTTAAAGTACTGAAGGAAAAAAATCTTTCACCTACAATGGTATATCCAGCGAAAAATATCCTTCAAACATGAAGGAAAAATAAAGACTTTTCCAGACAAACAAAAGCTGGGAGATTTCATCAACACCAGACCTGTCCTATAAGAAATGCTAAAGGGAGTACTACAATGAGAAAGAAAATGATGTTAATGAGCAATAAGTCATAACTAGAAGGTATGAAACTCACTGGTAATAGTACACAGGTAAAAATAGTATAACTCTGTAACTATGGTGTGTAAACTACTCTTATTCTAAGTAGAACGAGTAAATAATGAAACAATAAGAAATAATAACAACAACAACTTTTCAAGACATAGGCAATACAAGAAGGAATAAATAGAATAAAAAGTTAAAGCACCTGGAGGATGAATTTAAGACTTAGTTTTTATCAGTTTTTTTTTCTTGTTTGTTTATGCAAAGAGTGTTATGTTGTTATTAGGTTAAAAATAATGGTAGTAAGATAGTATTTGCAAGCCTCATGGTAACCTCAAACCAAAAACTAAAAAATAAAAAGTGAGAAACTAAATGCTATCATGAGAGGTAATCACCTTCACTAAACGAAGGCAGGAAGTAAAGAAAGAAGACCACAAAACAACCAGAAAACAAATAACAAAATAGCAAAAGTCCTTACTTAACAATAATAACATTGACTGTAAATGGACTAAACTCCTCAATCAAAAGACAGAGTGGCTGAATGAAGTTTTAAAAGAGACTCATTGATCTGCGGCTCACCAGAGACACACTTCATCTGTAAAGATACCCATAAACTGAAAATAAAGGGATGTAAAAAAGATAATCCATGCCAATAGAAACTAAAAGAGAACAGGAGTAGGTATCCTTATGTCAGACAAAATAGATTTCAAGACAAAAACTATAAGAGGAGACAAAGAAGTTCACTATATAAAGATAAAGGAGTCACTTCACCAAGGGGATATAACAATTTAAAATATATATGCACCCAACACTGGAGCATCCAGATATATAAAGCAAGTATTATTAGAGTTAAAGAGAGAGATAGGCCCCAATACAATAATAGCTGGAGACTTTAATACCCCACTTTTAGCATTACACAGATCCAGACAGAATATCATCAAAGAGACATCAGACTTAATCTGCACTATAGACCAAGTGAATCTGATAGATATTTACAGAACGTTTCATCCAATGGCTGCAGAATACACATTGTTTATCTCAGCATACGGATTATCCTCAAGGATAGATCATATATTAGGTCACAAAACAAGTCTAAAAACATTCAAAAAATTGAAATGATATCAAGCACCTTACCTGACCACAAGAGAACAAAAATAAGTGAATAGCAAGAGGAATTTTGGAAACTCTGCAAATACATGAAAATTAAACAATATGTTCCTGAATGACCAGTGAATCAACGAAGAAATCAAGAAGAAAATATAAACTTTTTTTTTGAAAAAAATAATGGAAACACAACATAACAAAACCTATGGCATAGAGCAAAACCTGTACTAAGAGGGAAGTTTAGAGCTATTAGTGCCTGCATCAAAAAAGAGGAAAAACTTAAAAAAAATCTAAAATGCATCTTAACAAACTACGAAAGCAAGAGGAAACCAAATCCAAAATTAGTAGAATAAAATAAATGATAAAGATCAGACCAGAAATAAATAAAGCTGAAATGAAAAAGACAATACAAAAGAAACACAAAGTTAATTCTCTTTAAAGTTACCTTTAGCCAGACTAAGAAAACAGAGAAAATCAAAATTTAAAAAATCAGAAATGCAAAAAGAAACATTAGAATGATATTGCAGAAATTCAAAGGATCATTAATAGCTACTGTCAGCAACTGTATGATAATAAATTAGAAAAAATGATAAAAAATGGACAAATTCCTAAACAGATACTGCTATGGTCTGGCTATGTGTCCCCACCCAAATCTCATCTTGAATTGTAGTTCCCATAATCCCCATGTGTCATGGGAGGAAACTGGTGAGAGGTAACTGAATCATTGGGGCAGGTACTCCCATGCTGTTCTCGTGATAGTAAGTGAGTTCTCATGAGATCTTATGCTTTTATAAGGAGCTTTTCCTCTTTTTTCTGGGCAATTCTCTTTTCTACTGCCATGTTTAGAAGCACATATTTGCTTCCCCTTCTGCCACGACTGTAAGTTTCCTGAGGCCTCCCCAGCCATGTGGAACTGTGAGTCAATTAAAACTCTTTCCTGTAAAAATCAATTAAAAATTAAAAATTTCCTATAAAAATTGGACAGTTCTTTATAGCAGAATGAGAATGGACTAATACAGAAAATTGGTACCACAGAGAGTGGGGTGCTGCTGTAAACATACCTGAAAACGTGGAAGTGTCTTTAGAACTGGATAACAGGCAGAAGTATGTATAGTTTATAGGGCTCAGAAGAAGACAGGAAAAATGTGGGAAAGTTTCGAACATCCTAGAGACTTGGAGGGCTCAGAAGAAAGGAAGATGTGGGAAAATTTGGGACTTCCTATAGACTTGTTGAATAGCTTTCACCAAAATGCTGATAATGATATGGACAATTAAATCCAGGCTGAAGTGGTCTCAGATGGAGATAAGAAACTTGTTCAGAACTGGAGTAAAGGTCACTCTTGCTGTGCAAAGAGACTGGCAGCATTTTGCCCCTGCCTTAGAGATCCATGGAACTTTGAACTTGAGAGAAATGATTTAGGATATCTGGCAGAAGAAATTTCTAAGCAGCAAAGTGTTCAAGAGGAAGCAGAGCATAAAAGTTTGGAAAAATTTCAGCCTGACTATGCAATAGAAAAAAAAGAAAAACATTTTCTGGGGAGAAATTCAAGCTGGCTGCAGAAATTTGCATAAGTAGCAAGGAGCCGAATGTTAATCACCAAGACAATGGGGAAATGTCTCCAGGGCATGTCAAAGACCTACACGGCAGCCCCTCTCATCACAGGCCTCGAGGCCTAACAGAAAAAAATGGTTTTGTGGGCCACACCCAGGGACCCCTGCTGTGTTCAACCCAGGGACTTGGTGCCCTGTGTACTAGCCACTCCAACCGTGGCTAAAAGAGGCCAAGTTACAACTTGGGCCGTGGCTTCAGAGGGTGTAAGCCTCAAGCCTTGGTGGCTTTCACATCGTGTTGAGCCTGTGGGTACACAGAAGTCAATAATTGAGGTTTGGAAACCTCTGCCTAGATTTCAGAGGATGTATGGAAATGCCTGGATGTCCAGACCAAAGTTTGCTGCAGGGGTGGAGTCCTAATGGAGAATCTCTGCTAGGGCAGTGTGGAATGGAAATGTGGGTTCAGAGCCCCCACACAAAGTCCCCACTTGGGCACTGCCTAGTGGAGCTGTGAGAAGAGGGCCACCATCCACCAGACCCCAGAATGGTAGATCCTCCAACAGTTTACACTGTATGCCAGGGAAAGCCACAGACACTCAATGCCAGCCTGTAAAAGCAGCCAGGAGGGGGATTGTATCCTGCAAAGCCACAGGGGCAGAGCTGCCCATGGCCCTGGAAGCTCATCTCTTGCATCAGCGTGACCTGGATAAGAGACATGGAGTTAAAGGAGATTATGTGGGAGCTTTAAAATTTAATTACTACTTCTTTGGATTCTGAATTTGCATGGGATCTGTAGCCCCTCTGTTTTGGCCAATTTTTTCCTTTTGGAACAGGAGCATTTACCCAATGCCTGTACCCTAACTGTATCTAGGAAGTAACTAATTTGCTTTTGATTTTACAGGCTCATAGGCAGAAGGGACTTGCCTTGTCTCAGATGAGACTATGAACTTTTGGGTTAATGCTGAAGAGTTAAGACTTTGTGGAACAGTTCAGAAGGCATAATTGTGTTTTGAAATTTGACAAGGTGAAATCTTGGAGGGGCCAGCTGCTTGATAATATGGTTTGGCTCTGTGTCCCCACCCAAATCTCATCTTGAACTGTAGCTCCCATAATCCCCATGTGTCATGGGAGGGACTCAGTGAGAGGTAATTGCATCATAGGGGCAGTTACCCCTATGCTGTTCTCATGACACCAAGTGAGTTCTTACAAGATCTGATGGTTTTATAAGGAGGTTTTCCCCCTTTGCTTGGCATTTCTCTGTCCTGCCGCCACGTTTAGAAGGAGGTATTTGCTTCCCTTTCTGCCATGATTGTAAGTTCCTTGAAGCCTCCCCAGCCATGTGAAACTGTGAGTCAATTAATACTCTTTTCTTTATAAATCACCCAGTCTTGGACAGTTCTTTGTAGCAGCATGAGATGGATCTAATATACATACAAACTTACAATATTTAATGAGGGAGAAATCCAAAACCTGAACAGAAAAAAAAACAAGTAATCAGTTTAAAGTCATAATAAAAATAATCCTAGTAAAGGAAAGCCCTGGTCCTAGTGGCTTTACTGTTGAATTTTACTAAACATTTAAAGGACAACTAATACCAGTGCTACTCAAACAATTCCAAAAATAAAGGAGGAAGAAATACTTCCAGACTCATTCTATGAGGTATTAACCTGATTCCAAGCCAGATAATGACACATCAACAAAAGAAAACTATAGGCCAATATCTTTCATGAATATTCACATAAAAATCCTCAAGAAAATACTAGCAAACTGAACTCAACAGTACATTATCATTACCAAGTGGTATTTATCCCTGGGATGCAAGCACGGGTCAAAACATACAAATCAATCAACATGACTTATCATATCAACAGAATGAAGGATAAAAACCATATGATTGTTGTTTCAATTGATGCTGAAAAAGCATTTGATAAAATTTAACATCGCTTCATGATAAAAACCCTCAACGCTGTGGGGACAGAAGGAACATACCTCAACATAATAAAAGCCATATGCAACAGACCCACAACTCGTATCATACTAAGTGGTGAAAAACCTAGTCCTTCCTCTAAGATCTGGAACATGACAAGGATACCCACTGTCACCACTGTTATTCAACATAGTACTGGGAGTCCTAACTAGAGCAATCAGATAAGAGAAAGATATAAAGAGCATCTAAATTGGAAAGAAATAAGTCAAATTACCCTTGTATGCTGATGATGTGATTTTATATTTTATATTTTAAAGTTTCCACAGGCAAACTATTAGAACTAATAAACAAATTCAGTAAAGTTGCAGAATACAAAATCAACATACAAAAATCAGTAGCATTTCTATATACCAACAGTAAACTATGTAAAAAAATAAAATGTAAAAGTATTCCTATTTACAATAGCCACACATAAAATTAAATACCTAGGATTTAACTTAACCAAAAAAGTGAAAGCTCTCCATAATGAAAACTGTAAGAAACTGATGAAGGAAATTGAAGAGGACTCTAAAAAATGGATAAATATTCCACGTTCATGGGTGAGAAGAATCAATATTGTTAAAAGTTCCATACTACACTGAGCAATTTACAGATTCAATGCAATCCTTATCAAAATACCAATGACATTCTTCACTGAAATAGAAAAATCAATCCTAAAATTTGTATGGAGTAACGAGTGACCCAGAATAGCCAAAGCCATTCTAAGCAGAAAGAAGAAAACTGGAGGAATCACATTACCTGACTTCAAATTATACTGCAAATCTATAGTTATCAAAACAGCATGGTACTGGCATAAAATCAGACACATAGATGAATGGAACAGAATAGAGAACCCAGAGACAAATTCGTACACCTACAGTGAACTTATTTTCAAAAAAGTTGCCAAGAACCTACTCTGGATAAAAGACAGTCCCTTCAATAAATGGTGCTGAGGAAACTGAAAATCTATATGCACAGGAATGAAATTGGACCCCTTTCTCTCACTATATACAAAAATCAAATCAGAATGGATTAAATCTAAGACCTCAAACTATGAAACTACTAAAAGAAAACATTGGGGACATTCTCCAGGACATTGGTCTGGGCAAAAATGTCTTGAACTATACCCCACAAGTGCCAGCAACCAAAGAAAACATGAACAAATGGGATCACATCAAGTTAAAAAGCTTCTGCACAGCAAAAGATACAATCAACAAAGTGAAGACACAACCCACAGAATGGCAGAAAATATTTGCAAACTACCCATAATACAAGGGATCAATAACCAGAATATACAAGGAGCCCAAACAGCTCTATAGGTAAAAAATCCAATAATCCAATAAAAAATGGGCAAAATATATGAGTAGATATTTTTCAAAAGAAGACATTCAAGTGGCAAACAGGCATATGCAGTGGTAGTCAACATTACTGATCATCATAGAAATGCAAATCAAAACTATAATGAAATATCATCTCATCCCTGTTAAAAATGGCTTATATCGGAAAGACACACAAAAACAAATGCTAGTAACAAATGTGGAGAAAAGGGAACCTGTGTACACTGTTGGCGGGAGTGTAAATTAGAACACCCACTATGGAGAACAATGTGGAGGTTCCTCAAAAATCTAAAACTATTGCTACCATATAATCCAGAAATCCCACTGCTGGGTTATATCCCAAAGAAAGGAAATCAGTATATTGAAGAGGTATCTGCACTGCTATGTTTGTTGCAGCACTGCGTGCAATAGCTAATATTTGGAAGAAACTTCAGTGTCCCGCAATAGATGACTGGATAAAGAAAATGTAGTAAAATTTCCACAATGGAGTACTATTCAGCCATAGAAATGAATGAGATCCTGTTATTTGCACCAACGTTGATGGAACTGGAGTTCAGCATATTAAGTGAAATAAGCCAGGCACAGAAAGACTAACACTGCATGTTCTCACTTATATTTGGAATCTAAAAATCCAAACAATTTAACTCATGGACATAGAGAGTAGAAGGATGGTTACCGCAGGGTGGGAAGGGTAGTAGGGGCCTGGGGGGAATGTGGGGTGTCTAATGTGTACAAAAAGGTATTATAGTTAGAAAAAATGAATAAAATCTACTATATAATACCACAACAAGGTGCCTATAGTCAATAATAGATTGTACTTTTACAAATAACTAAAAGAGTGTAATTGAAATATTTGTATCAGAAAGATAAATTCTTGAGGGGACAGATATCCATTTTCCATGATGTGATTCTTTCACACTGCATGTGTGTATCAAAAGATCTTGTATACCCCATAAACATACACCTATGTTTCCAGAAAATTAAAATTAAAATTAAAATTTAATTTAAAATTTAATTTAAAATTAAATTTAAAAATGTAAATAAAATTAATAATTTTTTTGGAAAACCAATCAAACAGAGTGAACACATTGTTTATTTATTTTTTTCAGACGGAGTCTCACTCTATCACCCAGGCTGAAGTGCAGTGGCACAACCTCAGCTCACTGCAACCTCCACCTCCCAAGTTCAATAGATTCTCGTTCCTCAGCCTCACTAGTAACTGGGACTACAGTCCTAGGCCACCACGCCTGATTAATTTTTGGGTTTCACTGTGTTGGCCAGGCTGGTCTCGAACTCCTGACCTCAAGTGATCCGCCTGCCTAGTCTTCTCACAGTGCTGGGATTTCAGGTGTAAGCCATCGTGCCCAGCCGACATGGTTTATTTTTAAATATCATTGATAACAAGAGATATGGACTGAATATTTAAAATTGGGGTTCCAAATTTAGTTTTAATACAATATTTTAAAATGAAGGTCTATTAGTTAGAGGATAGTAAAACTAGATACATTAATAAGCAATTGAAATATGTTGTTGGTACATAAGTCTAATATGATACCTCAGTACCTGAGAATAGGATTTCTCACTTTTCGTAAAAGTATGGAATTAATAAATGTGACAAGTAATGATTAATATTTTCCATTTGTAAAAGTGTTAAAATTTAATAAATAATCATTTAACCAATTAAGCCCGTGTCAATGTATTAGTGATCTATTTTTTATAAAAAATTATCCCCAATTTGTTATTCTATGGCCTTAAAACAACAGATATTAATTATGTCATAATTCCTGTGTGTTAGGAATCTGGGAATGGCTTGGCTGGATGTATGATCCTTAAGTTCTCTCATAAGACTGTAGTCAAGGTGCTCACCAGGTCTGTGGTCTTATGTGAACACACGACTACGAAAGTAACTGCTTCTAAGCTCACTCAAATAGCTTTTGGCAGGCCTCAGGTGTTTAACCAGAGGGGTTACTAACAACAGGACAGCTTGCTTCTTCATAAAATAAGAACAGAGAGAGAGAGAGAAGAGCATATAGTCTTTTTGTAACCTAATCATGGATGTGATACTCCACCATTATCTATCACATTCTTTTTGCTAGTAGCAAGACACTCAACACAGCCCATTCTCAAGAGGGAGGTGATGTACAAGGGCACAAAGACAAAAATATCAGAAGGAGGAAATCACTGAAGGCCATCTTGGAGGTGCTCACTGGCTTCCAGTTATTCATATCCCTCCCACATGCAGAGTACACTTACTGCCTCCTAAGTTTCACGAAAGTCTTATCCCATTGCAGCATCATCTCAAAGTCCAAAATTATATCATCTATGTTAGGTTCAGAAATGAATTAGCCTTTTTGCATGTAGTTCCATAAGTATAGTTATTACTGTACAGTTTCTCTCAATTTGTAGACCTGTAAAACTAAAGAGATGAGCCACCTATCCATTACCCACCCAACATATAACAGTGAGACAAGCATGCAATAAGTGCTATAGGCACTCTTGATTAAAGAAAAGGAAAATGGGAGCCACAAAAAAAATCATTGTTCCATAGCAATTCTGAAATCTACCTGGCAAAGTTTCTGGATTAGATCTAAATTTCTGGAAATAATTGTCCATAGCTCTCAGCTCGGCCCTCTGAGGTCTACTTATGCAATTGTGGGAGTTTGTTAAGCAGTATCTGAAAGGCTGTTTACTTTGCATCTGATGCTGGTAGACCTGGAAGTGCACAGGGAAGGCTATCATGGAAAGAATATGGGTTCAAAGTGTAGAGAACAAGAATAAATTGTAGCCCACAAGCATGAAGTAGGGATGATGAAAACAAACCAAGAACTATGTTAGTTCTTGTTTCCTCTGACTTTGTGATGTGAATGTCCTGCTGAAGCTGCAATTCTTTGTCATGGAGGTAAAAATACACACGTGGTCCGGGAGCTGGAGAAGTTGAAGGAAGATCTACGGGGAAGTGGAGCCAGTGTAGGCTCAGTTACTGCTTCACGCAAGCAAGATAAGTCAGTCAATCAAAGGAAACATTGTGAGCTACAAAATGGGTGCTGATAAACTTCTGCCCTTCAAATCTTTCAGAAGACTCTGTCTTGGGGTTAATCCTTACCATAAACATACAGAAAATGGAATTCTTGGAAATTTAGTTCAGCCTATCCAAGTTGACATATTACAAAGTCACTAGAATCAGGATCATCCAAATTTTAATCAAGATGATTTGATTAAAACTGAAATTAATATGATTAGTATAGCTATAATAGGCACTTAGACAATTGTCTTCCCCAAATTTCCTTATGAAATGTTTGTTGTTCATGGAATACAGAATAAAAACACTCAAAGATAAAATAATTTGTCTTCTAAACTTCCACATGGAAAGACTATCCTGAATAACAAACTACAATTTCAGGTCACCCTGAGACTTACACAGCTTCAGTCAAGAACTCAGGCACAGATTTAAATGTTCAAATCTACCATTTAAAACTAAAAAAGTCACTATACTTGCTCAGATACTTCATATTTAAGGCTATATTATGTTCTTAATATGAGTTTTTATCTAAATTTCCTACAGGAATATCATGTACCAACTAAGTGAACTAGCTATTTTGGTATCTCTTATTATTATTATGTCCTCTTACAAAATTGGATAAGAGTATTATATTAACCTCTATATAAATGTATCTTATGAATTTGGTCTTTTTGGATCTGAATCAGTTGCTCTAAATTAAATAACCTCTGGATATATTCATTAAATCAAGCTTCTGAGCCTACTACCGTTCAAAGCAGATCTCAGAACATATTGATCCAACTCAGGGATTGAAGTCTTAGAATAATAGCTCTAACATATTATTTTCTAGCAGAACGATGTCATAACCAAAGGTGTGGGATAATTACACAGGAAATGAAAGTCTTCAGTCCTGCAACGCTTCAAGTTGTTCAACAGGGAGGAGGAATTACTAATGAGGTTGATTACATTCTATGGCATTAATTACACACTTTTTACTAAAATATAGAGTCACTGTATCCTAAAATGTTCCAGTTCCAAGTTCTATGATGAAAATACAATAAGTGATAAGGCAAAACGTGACTAGGAGGCTATAATGGTCTGAATGATGACCCACAAAGGGATATGTCTATTTCCTAATTCTAGAACCCGTGAATATTACCTTGTTTGAGAAAGGGTCTTTGCAAATGTAATTAAGTTAAGGATCTTAAGATGAAGAAATCATCCTGGATTATCTGGATAGGACAGACATCCAGTGACAAGTGTGCTTATAAGACAGGATAGGAGGAGTTGGACACACAAAGGAATAGAAGATATGAAGATGGAGGCAGAGATTAAAGTTATACAGCCACAAACTCAAGAATTCTGGGGTAGCCACCAGAAGTTGGAGGAGGCAAGGAATGGATTCTCCCAGAAGGCATGCAACCTTGCCATATTTCAGACTTCCAGCTACCAAAACTGTGATAGAATAAATTCGTGTTATTCTAAGTCACCACCAAATATGTGGTAATTTGTCATAGTAGCCTCAGGAAACAAATATAGAGGCCAGTGGTCCATAAAAGCAGCCTATCAGATTATATCACTATCTCTATTAGTGGTGTTCAGTATTGTCTTGTTCAATATACTTTTCAATGGTGTTAATGAGGATAAGATTTAACTTTTTAAATAATGAAAGCTGAGTGAGTTCATAATAATTTTAGATAATAGAAGGGATCTCAATTTCATCCATTACGCTATCAATTCTGTGTGCGTACTACTAATATTAGCAGATGTACTACTGACCTTATAGCAAATTATCTTGACTGGTGTTATCTGTTTTAGAAGAACTTCAGACAGAAATTTATGGTATTTTTCTGTCCTTACATCCAAGATTCAAATGGAAAGTATAATATGAAAAACATATGACCTAATAAAAGCAGTAAAGTTATTCAACTTATATGGTCTCAAACTAAGTATGAATCATCATTTTGACTGCATTAAATCACAATGGTGGTGATAAGAAGATGAGGTTTATGTTTTAGTGATCGGAATGCTTATATTTTCTATCCTTAGTATCTCCTTTCCACTAATAGGGCATTTGAGAAATCAAATAAATAATCACAAGTCTCTTGGTAAGCACTCAATTAGAAAAGCAGAAGGGTAGCCTCAAGAGACATCTCATCCAGGCCATTTCTGCATCCCAGATTCAATGTCCAGAACACTAGCAAATTCTTCACTTTCTTTTTAAAATGACATCCTGAATACTACCTTCAGTTAATACAAGTTTTGCTCACTTGGAATACCGTGTATTTATTTTTTTTTTCATTTTTATTAGTTTCAGTGATAGTTGTGTCATGCCTTCCTGAGATTTCATGGATAAAATATTAAAAGAGTGTGTGGGAAGTTAGCACCATTATCTTATTCTGCCTCAAAGTTCTGTTAATCACATAGTTGAGATTCTAACCTTACTTATATTTGGTTATTCCTAATTTTAACCTTATTAAGTGAAGTTTGAGATAATAAGGTACCCAATTTTCCACTCCTGTGTTTTAACTCTGTAGAGTAGAAAAAATAAACTCTTATTTGATCAAATAGCATGTGCACTTACTTTGGTTGCCACGTTTTAAGGACACTTTTAGAGAACATTCATAGGAGAGTGCTCAAAATTTTGAGGAATCTGAACATCAGGCTTTATGAAGATTGACTGAAGGTTTTAGGGACATTTGGCTTGAAGAAGAAGAAACCAAAGAAGGCTACTATAGCTATACTTTGAGTATTAAGGCTATCATGTGAAAGGGATTTACTCTGGGTAGCTAGAGACTTCAGAACTTCTGATTTCAGTTAAATAGTAAAATAAAAAGCAGAACTTAAAAAAAAAATTACAAGTATCAAAAAATCGAATATTTTTAAAATTAGTAATTTTTCTGGAACCAGAGGTATTTAATAAAGAACAGATTATCATTTATATATGTTATGAAGCCAAGAAATAGATTTTGTAGAATATAAGATCTGGCTATATCTAAGATAGGGATTTTTAACTTGGCATATACAATCTCTAAGAGATCTTCAGGTTTTCTACAAACTACCTAGAGTTAAGCAATTTTTTGTGTATTTCATGCATAGATTTTTCTAAAGAGAGGGTTCATAAGCATTCATTACATGCTCAAAAGAGTCTTGACTCTTCAAAAGGTTAAAAATGTTTTCTGTAAGTTTTCTTGGAACTCCAGGTTTCCAAGATTCTATTCAAAGTAAATGATGTGCTTTTAGATATACAGATTTATGGTAATTACTTTTCTTTGATCTTTTATGAGTTTAGAAAAATTTTAGCTTTTTCAACCCATATTGTTTTCAATTTATTCAGGTATTTTTTGGCCTCTGCCAAGCAAGTACTTATTTTGGTGTTAATTGGTTTGCTTGCCATAGAAAAGTATAGGGATTCTACTTACAATTACTTTAAGAATACAGGTTGTCTATTTTTGAGGTTATGAAAAGTCTAATGAATCTCAAATATGTATTAAATGAGCTGATATAATATACTCAATATCTCAGGAGTTTTAAGATTGTTAAATAAAAACGATTAATAATTGTCATGATTGGACTGAATCAGGGGACATAGATTGTTAAACTGTTAAATATAGCTGAGAGGCTACTAAAAATTACTACTAAAATGAATTCAAATTAAATGTAACATTTGTTTATGAATTTATATATGGAAGAAAATGTGTCTCCGAGGGCAAACATTTTCCCTACAGTACCCAATATCAAGAACATTATTGCATTTGTCCTTCTCTGTAATTATCGTTGGTATTTGAAGGGCTCTGTTTTTCTGTTAGCCACTGGGGAAATGAGATAAAAATGACCTTTAAATAAATAATTATAAACTAGGTTTCATTGCAATCTTCAATTGCTTCTCTCTTTTTGAATATATTTTTAATGTTTTTGTGAATATTCTGAAAAGTGGATTTTGAATAAATTTGGGCTTTGAAGTACTTTAGAAAGATTTCTATCTAGATTCCACAAATCTGTAAATAAGAGAAGAATATAAACCAATGCAGCAGCTTAAGTACATCTGGAATAACCAAGAAAGAAACACATTAAAGTTAATTAGGACAAAAAAATACAGCTTTTATCTCATACTTACATAGATGAAAATATGACTCTAAATTATAACTTTTCTTTAGCTAAATTGGCCAAATGCATATCCAGGGAGATACAGATTTTCGGCCTGTGATTTCTAGAACACTCAGCTAGATAAGCAGGTATACTGGGACTTACTGCTAACTGTGGGTTGTTACTTCTCTCTTCTTTCATCAAAAATGAGAACATCTGTAATCATCACAGCAGGATGCTGGCCTGTGCCTCTAAGTGGTGTCCAGAAAGACCTCTGTTGGGCTGAGTTTGGATAGTCCCACATGAGGAGAATAGTTATTTACTGAGGAATAGCTGGGAGGAAGCAACTTATGATTTTTGTAAAACAAAAGTAGCCTATACTATAAAATAAACTAGAATGCGCAATGTAAAATGTGACTTGGAAATGGGACGTACACAAACTTAGGAACATATTTTATGAGAAACAAATTTAAGAACTTCAAAAAGAAAATTTTCAGAATAATTGTCATTATTATCACATTAAAAACACACCACATAAAAATACATTGAAATCTTGAAATCTAAGTTGTGGCTTATTGTCTAGATACTGAGAAATGGTTTGTGAGAGAAGGGAGAGGGATGTGAGTGTGGGCTTAGTTTATATTTCACTTTGAAGATAAAGTGAGAAACATTAAGTGACTGCATTTGTGCTAAAGAACAGACAATGCTATTGTGTGATAGAGAATACAATGAAAGGCAAAACCAGGAGAGGAGAGATGAAGAAAGAGAAAAATTACGGAAGAGAATGATAATGAAAAGAGGTTTTCAGAAACAGAAGAGGACGAAAGAGGAGGTGGGAAATAAATGAGGGAGGTAGCAGAGATGTGAACAGAAAGAATGAAAAAGTAATATTTGTGTGTCTGGTTTGTATCTATACTAACACACGTCTCACACATGATATCTGCAGTCATAATGTTCTTATTAGATTATCTATAGTAGAGGTGACTATACCCTTTGTGAATAAAATGGGCAATAATGGCTTTTTCAAGGATTGTCCCAGCTAGACTTCCACAATTCTCTCAAATTACAACCATAAGCTGTAATTCAAATCAGATAAAACTTATATTTATATTAAAGTTCCAACAGAAAAAGCCTGCAGAAGGATAGAAAACCATATATTTTTCAACAATGACTATTTTCCATTTCCTGGAGATTTGACAATAATGGTTTCTCTTCTTGGAGAGTTCTTAAAATGCAAGGATAGATGACCTCTGAATTATTGCCTAGATCCCTTACCCTGAATGATTTTCCCCCTAAGCCTTCAGTATGCCTACCTGGATTCACCAAATTTATAGTTAAGGCACAGTCCGTCATCCTTTGTCCTGAGCTCTCTTTAGCTATATTTTATATGTGATATATCATAGAAGCAAAGATCTGAAGCTTAGAAAATGATGTGAATATTAATCCCACTTCTGCCTCTCATAGCTCCATGCACTTAGAAATGTATGCAATCTCTCTGTAAAATGGCAGTAATAAGAGGTACTTTAAGATATTGTTAAGATTTAAAAGTCAAAGAACATAAAATTAGCACAGTGTCAGAAACATAATAAGTGTTCAATTTATGTGAACCATTGTTGTTTTTATTCTTAAAGGCACTCTGCCTTCTTCTACTCCCCTTAATAGATTTCTCACTAAATTCTGCATGCTGGTCAAAATGATCACATTTTTTCAGACAGTGATCACATTTAAATTCTTGTAAAACTGGTGGCAGAAGGTAGGGATCAGTCTAATGAGTTGGGTACCTGGAGGAAATAGGCAAGAACTAAGCAGGTTTTCTAGATAATACTTTAACACTTCCAACAGCATTGATTTTAGTTGATTCCAAATTTATTGCAGTAGGTGATAATATGAACCCAAATGCAACATAATCTTTAAAAATACCCACTAGTAGTATGTTTGTAATTTTACATTGAAAGTTTCATTGAAATAATTATTACATAACTTACTGTAAGTAGGTAAATCACTTTATTATTGTAAGATATAATAAAAACATATTTGATGTATCTTCTACACAGTTTCCTACAATGATAACATGATATTTTAATTGTTTAATTTTTAAAAACTTTTGTGGATACACATCTTGCAAAAGCATAGTACAATATCAAACCAGGATATTGGCATTGATACAATCCACCCATTTTGCTTAGATTTTCTTAATTTTATTCATACTCCTGTGTGTGTTTGCACATGTGAGTGTGTTTAATTTTATCACATTTCATCAGATGTGTAGCTTTTTGTATCTGCCACTACAGTCAAGATGCTAAGCAGTTTCATCACCACAGGAATCCTGTCTCTTGCCCTTTGATAACCACAATACGCCTTCCCACTCTACCCTTCCCTGCCCTCTCCAGAAACCAGTATTCTCTCCATTTCTAAAATGTTCTTATTATACCCACTTTATATAGTTGTCAGACTTTCTTTTACAGAAAAGGAGAGACTGGGGACATATATGGATAAAGTAAGACTCTTTGCTTATAGTAATCTGGCCAAAAAAAGAAAGATCATGATACTCATGCATTAGTAAATTTAGTTCTGGTTACCATAAATAATATTTGACTCTACTACATATGTAAATTGCATGGCTTTTGACACATAGTTACCACTACTAACTGCTTTTTACTTTTGTCATCATCATCATATTATAATAATAGATATTATGTATCATTTCTACTCATGTTTCCTTCAGCCTATCATTACACTTCATGCTAATGTGTATTTGTTGTTGTTGGAGTATCTGACATTATTCAATGATATCATTTTTATCCCCAAGACCTAGTTCTTAGACACCCTCTCTGAAGCCTACCGCTTTCAGGCAGTGTCCAGATTGTCCCTTCAGGTGGAATCACTCATTCTTCTTGCTGCTGTTAAGTGTTGGTTGCTGACAGTCTGCCACTGTGTTTGTTTCAAGGCCTTTCCCTCTGCTACAGTGTACTGCTTTCCTGTGTGTCACATGCTCACCCTTCCAAGGATAACCCACATCCAATAACTGGGAAATGCAAGGGGGTAAAGCAGGTATAAAGTTCATGTCCCCTTTCCCCGATTCAAGCCAATTCTCAAGACTATTTCCAGCTCCAGGGCTTCCCCGGGCACAAGCTGAGGGCTTTATTGATGCTGTATCACATATTTTGCCTGTGTTCTTTATCCAGAAGTTACTCCAAACTAAACTGCAATCAAATACCAATTTAAGAGTTACCTCCCAGAAGCACAACCTATAAAAGCCATTCTCTTTCTCTCTTTTCCTTAGGTGTTTTTCCTCTGTGCTATCAAATGTTCATGTGAAAACATTTATGGGATTTTGTTTCCACCAAAGTAATATTTTCCTCTAAAGTATTAAGCTAGTCACATTTGCTTTGTCTTCAAAATTTTTGTTTAGATGACATTTATTCAATTATTCAACATATATTCATTGAAAAATTACTATGTACCAAGCACTTTTCCAAATTCTGGGGCTACGATAGTGAACAAAACCAATGCTGTCCATGTTTTCATGGAGCTTATTATCCAGTGGGAGAGACAAACATTTAAAAAGGGAAATATACAAATAACCTTGCTCTTTTTTGTGTGTTATATTTTCTAAGTTTGCTAGTTTGAACCATAATTTTTGTCCTTTATTCCCTGCCAAGAAGGAAGGGTCCTTTTATCCAAAGTTAGAAATCACCATTTTGCCAAGCAGAACAAGGCAATGAAGACTCACTTAACCATAGATTTTTTTTTTTTTTTTTTTTTGAGGCAGGGTCTCATTCTGTTGCCCTGACTGGAGTGCAGTGGCTCAAACTCAGCTCACTGCAGCCTCAGCCTCCTGGGCTCAAGCAATCCTCCCACCTCAGTCTCCCAAGTAGCTAGGACTACCAGCGTACCACCACACCCGGCTACTTTTTGTATTCTTTATAGAAATGGGGTTTTGCCATGTTGGCAAGGCTGGTGGTCTTGAACTCCCAAGCTCAAGCGATCCACTTGCCTTGGCCCCCCAGAGTGCTAGGGTTACAGGCATGAGCCACCATGCCCAGACTACCTAGCCATAAATTAATGAAGAAGTATGTCATCAATTTGAGACTTTGTCGGCTTCATATTCTTCATACTTGATATTCTTTAACTCCTAACTAAATGTTTGTGTCAGAGACCACTCCAGAATGAAGGAAGGCCCACCTGCTCTTTATACATAGTCTTCTCCATCTCTGTTCTGTCTCCCAGGTCATTTTAGCATTGGAGAGACTGGAACAGAAATTCCCTTACCTGTAATATGGATCCAGAGGGTAGAAAATGTCTCACAACTAAGCATGACATAGCCATCTTGGTCACAACGGATTATTCAACTCTAAGAATGGATTAAAGAGGAGATCAATAGGATACTTACAAGAGGTAGACATCAATAAGAGATACTAGAGAACAACATCACGGTTAATGTTGCAAGATGGGAAACTTTATATTTACCATTATTCTTTCAGGAAAAATCATATATATGGTTGAAAGGAAAATATAATAAAGTACTTGGGGTGGACACTTGACTTTCAGGGGTCATGGTCACATAACAATGCGTGGTCACTAACCTAGCCTTCCTAGGAGAGTAGGTATGGTCAACTGCATGAATTTATTTTATTGAATAGAGTCTGTAAATGTGAGACCAGGGTTGAATTTCTTTTTCTACTAGTCCTCCTTGTCAGCTCTTTTCCACATACCACTTTTGAGTTCTTTTATAACAAAATAAGCAATAGATATTAAAGAATAGTTACATGAAGGGACAACACAGTTTGGCTAGAATCTGCTCGGGACACCTACAAGCATCTGGTAGCAGCTCCTTTTGCATCTGAAGCACCTATACAGACCAGAGAGCAGGAGAGCAGATTCACTTTTGTCCCTGTTTACTTGGCAACCTTCAGAAACAGGAAACAGGATCTGTGATGGATGAAAAGCATTATTTCCCTCATAACAACTTCTAGTACAGTGAAAATGGTAGGGAGAGGAGAGAATATGGAGAAAACAATGAGCTTCACACATGCTACCTATAATAATCTCATTATCTTTCTAAGAGAAGGATGTGGTGATGATTTCACACATGAAAAATGAACATGGTGCTGTGCACGGTGGCTCATCCCTATAATCCCAGCACTTTGGGAGGCCAAGGCAGAAGGATCACTTGAGCCCACGGTTCAAGATGAGCCCAGTCAACATAGTGAGACCCCATCTCTACAAAAAAGACAAAAGTTAGCTGGGTGTGGTGGTGTGCACCTGTAGTCCCAGCTACTTGGAAGGCTGAGGTGGAAGGATTGCTTGAGCCAGGGAGGTTGAGGTTTCAGTGAGCTGTGATTCTGCCACTGCACTGCAGTCTGGGTAACAGAGTGAGAACTTGCGTCCAAAACAAATAAACAAACAAAAAAACAAAAATAAAGCAATATGGTGCCGAATAACACCCACCTCAGGTGAAAGGTATTATAGTATACCTCATATAAAAAAGATCCATCCTCAAATATTAAAATCATTTTTTTAAAATTATGAAATATTTTGATTTCATAAAATGCTTAAAAGTGTTTGTTATCCAGTTAAAGCTGAACATCCAGTGAAATAATCAGTCTTTAATTTCTTATTACATTTAAACATCTGAAGACTGTTGGTCTTATTTCTCCTCTTTATGTTCAACATCTATGGAATGAACATTTGACCTCTGTGCATTGAAAATTGTGTTTTATCTTATATTACTTTATATTCTGTTCTATGTCCAAATAGTGTGATTATAAAAAAATCATTGTGATGATTTACCAAATATAGCTTTTAAAAAGAAATGTATGATTATTATGGTCCAAAATTTAGAATCTACTATACCTAAAAACTTTAAAGGTTTTGAGCAGCCTTTTAGAATCTACCTTCTCTGTATTTTGCCACAGACTTTGATGAACCTGCCCCCTTATTTATTCAGTATTGTATTGTCTGAATTGCTAAATTAAAGGAAATCATTAAAATTTCTCAAAATAAATTTAGGTGGACGATAGAAAATAGGTTAATTTTGAACTATTAACAATGTAACTGTCTAGATTTTGAAAAGCTTCCTGAATACTTTGTAAATTTTCTTAATATCCTGGGTGAACATGTCAAGAAACTGTTATTAAAGTTGATAATTATATTACAGAGTGGTCAAGCTGGAAGTCAGCAGAGCCAAGGTAACCAGGTCTGATTTCAGGGCTTCTCAGAGACCTTGGAAGTTGGGTCAGGTAGGAGTCTCTTAGAACTTTCTACAACTACAGATGAGCTATTTTACTGTTCTTATATTTTATTCTTCATGCAAAGAGCAAGCAGAGAGGTTTCTTCTAGGTCCAATAGCCATGCTCAATCAAGCAGTTTTTATTATTTGCTTTTGGCTCTCCTACATTCAATAAGAGTCTACTCTCTCCATTCTTGAGGCTTTTTAATTTTCAGTTGAAATTATATCTTCAAATTCAATAACTTAAAAACAATGAGCTACAGAACTGTAAGAATCTTAGAGATTGCCATGAGAGGTTGATTTTTAAGCAGCTGCTTTTCCTTTTTAAATATCATAACATATTTTCGAACTATAATTATATCAAAGAGAGGCAAAATGTTTCTCAACATTAGCATCATATGGCAATGCATCTAGTGTATCCTGTGGCTTGTTATACTCGTGTATTTTTCTATCAGAGCACACCCTCACAATTTGTTTCTTCTTACTACATCCTTGAGTAATGTTATTGGAAACAAGGGGAATAAAATACAACCAATTCCACAATGATACACTATTCCAGTGATGATTAGGTTATGTAGAAGAGCATCAGAGTCAAAATCTATATACATTAGTCTCCCCTTATCCATGGTTTCCATTTATGCGGTTTCAGTTACCTGCAGCCAACTGCATTCTGAAAATATTAAATGAAAAATTTCATAAATAAACAATTCATACTTTTTAAGTTCGGTGCTGTTCTGTGTAGCATGATAAAATCTAGAATCTTGGAATGCGAATCATCCCCTTGTCCAGATTATCCATGTTGTATACACTATCCTCTGGCTAATGACTTAGTAGCTATCTCAGTAATAAGATTGAAAAAACAGAGGGCTTATAAGATTTGGTATCATCTGAGCTTTTGGACATTCACTGGGGGTCTTGGAATATATTCCTCACGAATAAGGATAGACTATTATAATGATGGAATACAGTCTATATATAAATACACAATTTTAATTTAGACCACATGTACTCACTTTTAAGTAGGCATAATATACCTGGGCATAATATACTCATGTAAGAAACCTGTGCATGTACCCCCCATATCTAAAACTTGAAATTTGCAAAGAAAAAAATATCGTACAGAATGTTGCGTATCTTATGTCTTTTTGATAAAATAACCCTTCCAAAATGTTCACCTCAGTTTTTCTTTTTCATAGTCAATCATTTTTGATATTCCACTCTCAGTGAAGCATTTCCTTAACAACTATCAGAAATGACATTATCAAGTTTCTGTGTCACTTGAACACACATATTCTTGAGATTACATTTCTCAACCACTGAATATGCTCTTGTCACGTTGTTTGTAGCTAACATAAATACTTTATTTTAGGTTTTACATCTCATATTTTCTAAATTGCTCTAATAGTGTAGCAGAAAGATTTGTTGGAATTGGAGTGGGAAGATCCATGGCAAATTCTACTTCTACAAGAATTTGCGACAAAATGTAGTCAATGTAAAAATATTCTTCTTTTAGGCCTTTGTTCTTTTGCTCATTTAAAACTGTCACTAATTTTGTGATGCTTTTTTACCATCAAAGGTGTCATAGTATCAAGTAATTAAATGTGTAGCTGAGAAAAATACTATTTAAAATCATAGCAGGCTACAGATATGTTTGCCTCCTAAGATTGTGGCATATTCTCATTCTGTGTATAGCCCTTTGTTACGGAAAATACCTTGATATAATGCTGTGAACATGATAGAAGAGATCTTTAGGGCACTCTCTGGGAGACTATAAAGATAACCGAATTACTATGTATAATGAAGCATCAATTTGGGCTGCCAAAATTGTCTAGGAAGCAGATACGTTTGGACGTCAGTATGTGGAAGGATGGCTTTAACAAAAGGTAAGATACAAATGAGACATGCAAGATAAAGGGGGCAAGAAAATAAAACCAGAGATGAGGAAGAAAAATGAGTTTTCCAAAGATCCTCAGAGATGCTATGGACACTGGATTTTATACAGCGTGATATGTGACTTGCTTTATTTCAATCTTAAAGCCCAAGGTGACTCCAGCAGGCTAGAGGACACAAGGCACCTTGGCAATAGACACTTGTGTCACAATGGACTTTATCAGTCAAGAGATTTATCAGTTTATTTCATTGATATACCATTACATTCAAATAGATACTAAGGAATATATTTCATAAACAGTGCAGTCATGTGTCACTTAAAGAAGTGGATACATTCTGAGAAATCCATTGTTAGGTAATTTTGTTGTTATGTAAACATCACAGAGTGCATTTACACAAACCTAAATGGTATAGTCCACTATACATCTAGGCTATATGGTATAGCCTATTGCTCACAGGCTACAAACCTGTACAGCTTGTGATTGTAGTACATACTGGAGGCAATCCTAATACAATGGTAAGTATTTGAATGTCTAAACATACCTAAACATAGAAAAGGTACAGTAAAAATATGCTATTAAAGATTTTTTAAAATGATACAACTGTATACTGTATAGGGCACTGATCATGAATGGAGCTTGGAGAACCGGAAGTCTCTCTGGGTGAATCAGTGACTGAATGGTGAGTGAAGGTGAAGGGCTAAGACATTACTGTACATTACTGAAGACCTTTAAAACACTTTAAACTTAAGCTACACTAAATTTATTAAAACATATTTTTCATTTTCAGTAATAAATCACATTAGGTTTCTGTAACATTTTTACTTTATAAAATTTTTAATTTTTTAAAAATTGATTCTTTGATAATAACAGTTAAAACACAAGCACGTTGTACAGCAGTACAAAAATATTTTCTTCCTTTATATTATTATTTTATAAGCTTTTTTATTTTGAAATTTTTTATGTACTTTTAATTTGTAAACTTTTCTATTGAAAATGAAGACACAAACATGCACATTAGCCTAGGTCTACACAAAGTCAAGGTCATCAAGACATCACCGGGTGATAGGAACTTCTCAGCCCCATTATAATCTTATGGGAACACCTTCAAATATGCAATTGACCCAAACGTTGTTATGCGGTTCATGGCTGTATTATGTGAAGATAAATATTTCAGTAAATAATGAAACAGTAAGTTATATGTGGGTAAATGAATGATAATTAATATAGGTAAATCACTAATGTCTAATACTAAAATTGGCAAAGAAGCCTTTGGAGAAATGGAAGAGATCTAATATTTTGATGGGAAGTCTTCCCTTGACATATTTAAGTCAATATATAATCTATTTTGTCTTAGAGATAGTTACAAATAAAAGTACATTGTCATTAACAAGTAATAATAAGAGTGACTTATATAGATATTTAAGAGAAGAGATTTCTTACTTATGTATTCTAAAATAGGTATGAGGAAGAGTCATATTTGTAAGAAATAACTTCCTTAATTTTATGGTTATTTTTACTTTTGTAATTTTTTCCCATTTATGATACCAATGAATTTTATAAAATTTTAAGAAAATACAACTGATGCTTAATATTTAATCTCAATATTTTAAAATTGAACGTCAGAGTGAGAAAGAATAGAAATATTTTTTCTCACATATATGTACTGCATATAACATATAAAATAATTTTTATTCATAGTATTAAAAATAAAAAGAACTATTAAATTTGCCTAATGTAAAATAATCTTTTTGTTTTAGATACAGAATCCAAATAGTAGATAGATTTTTGTGCCACTGTTCTCTTCTGTGTTAATATATTCCTTTGTGTCAATGTAATAACAATATACATTTGCTAACAGAACATCTTTAAAAATATTATGGTAGTCAAAAAAATTAGAAGATACTGCAAGATAACCTTACATTTCTATTTACACATTTGCATCTTAATCATACCATCATTAAAAGATTATAATCACCATCAGCAGAATTGTCTTTGAATAGGAAGCCCAGTAATAAATAGCTATAATATCATAAATATTACCTCATTTTTCAAATTCTAACAGTGATTTTAGTTCCCACTGTAGACTTTAGATTCTAATTTATATTTAATGTTAAATACATTACTCTGCTCTAACAAAAATGAGATAACCAAATATTTTATTATCAAGTAAGAACAATGATACACATTTACACATTTTATAATTACAATGTAAAAGTCAATGTATTTAGCTTGATAAGCATAGATGGATATTTTAAACCTCAATAAATACCGAATTTTATGTCCCATATTACAAAAATAAATCTCTGCATATGACTAGCCAGTTTTCTCAACACCATTTATTAAATAGGGAATCCTTTCCCCATTGCTTGTTTTCGTCAGGTTTGTCAAAGATCAGATGGTTGTAGATGTGTGGCATTATTTCTGAGGGCTGTGTTCTGTTCCATTGGTCTATATATCTGTTTTGGTACCAGTACCATGCTGTTTTGGTTACTGTAGCATTGTAGTATAGTTTGAAGTCAGGTAGTGTGATGCCTCCAGCTTTGTTCTTTTTGCTTAGGATTGCCTTGACTATACAGGCTCTTTTATGGTTCTATATGAAATTTAAAGTAGTTTTTTTCTAATTCTGTGAAGAAAGTCAATGGTATCTTGATGGGAATAGCATTGAATCTATAAATTACTTTGGGCAGTATGGCCATTTTCACAATACTGATTCTTCCTATACATGAGCATGGAATGTTTTTTCCATTTGTTTGTGTCCTCTCTTATTTCCTTGAGCATGGTTTGTAGTTCTCCTTGAAGAGGTTCTTCACATCCCTGGTAAGTTGTATTCCTAGGTATTTTATTCTCTGTAGCAATTGTGAATGGGAGTTCACTCATGATTTGGCTTTCTGTCTGTCCGCTATTGGTGTATAGGAATGCTTGTGATTTTTGCACATTGATTTTGTATCCTGAGACTTTGCTGAAGTTGCTTATCAGCTTAAGGAGCTTTTGGGCTGAGACGATGGGGTTTTCTAAATATGCAATCATGACATCTGCAAAGAGAGACAATTTGACTTCCTCTCTTCCTATTTGAATACGCTTTATTTCTTTATCTTGCCTGATTGCCTGGCCAGAACTTTCAATACTACGTTTAATAGGAGTGGTGAGGGAGGGCACCTTGACTTGTGCCGGTTTTCAAAGAGAATGCTTCCAGCTTTTGCCCATTCAGTATGATATTGGCTGTGGGTTTTTCATAAATAGTTCTCATTATTTTGAGATATTTCCATCAATACCTAGTTTATTGAGTGTTTTTTAGCATGAAGGTGTGTTGAATTTTATCGAAAGCCTTTTCTGCATCTATTGAGATAATCATGTGGTTTTTGTCATTGGTTCTGTTTATGTGATGGATTACGTTTATTAATTTGTGTAAGTTTAACCAGTCTTGCATCCCAGGGTTGAAGCTGACTTGATCGTGCTGGATAAGCTTTTCTATGTGCTGCTGGATTCGGTTTGCCAGTATTTTATTGAGGATTTTGGCATCGATGTTCATCAGGAATATTGGCCTGAAAGTTTCTTTTTTTGTTGTGTCTCTGCCAGGTTTTGGTATCAGGATACGCTGGCCTCATAAAATGAGTTAGGGAGGATTCCCTCTTTTTCCATTCTTTGGAATAGTTTCAGAAGGAATGGTACCAGCTCCTCTTTGTACCTCTGGTAGAATTCAGCTGTGAATCTGTCTGATCCTGGTTTTTTTTTTTTTTTTTTTTTTGGTTGGTAGGCTATTAATTACTGCCTCAATTTCAGAACTTGTTATTGGTCTATTAAGGGATTGGACTTCTTCCTGGTTTAGTTTTCAGAGTGTGTATGAGTCCAGAAATTTATCCATTTCTGCTAGATTTTTCTAGTTTATTTGTGCAGAGGTGTTTATAGTATTCTCTGATAGTAGTTTGTATTTCTGTGGGATCAGTGGTGGTATTCCCTTTATCATTTTTTATTGTGCCTATTTGATTTTTCTGTCTTCTTTATTAGTATGGCTAGAGGTCTATCTATTTTGTTAATCTTTACAAAAAGATAGCTCCTGGATTCATTGATTTTTTGAAGGGTATTTCATTTCTCTATCTCCTTCAATTCTGCTCTGATCTTAGTTATTTCTTGACTTCTTCTAGCTTTTGAATTTGTTTGCTCTTGCTTCTCTAGTTCTTTTAATTGTGATGATAGGGTGTCGATTTTAGATCTTTCCTGCATTCTCATGTGGGCATTTAGTGCTATAAATTTCCCTCTAGACACTGCTTTATTTGTGTCCTAGAGATTCTGGTACGTTGTGTCTTTGTTCTCATTAGTTTCAAATAACTTCTTTATTTCTGCCTTAATTTCGTTATTTAACCAGTAGTCATTCTGGACTCCTTCCTTACCCTTTATACAAAAATTAACTCAAGATGGATTAAATACTTAAACATAAAACCATAAAAACCCTAGAAGAAAAACTAGGCAATACCATTTGGAACATGGGCATGGGCAAAGACTTCATGACTAAAACACCAAAAGCAATTGCAACAAAAGCCAAAATTGACAAATGGGATCTAATTAAACTAAAGAGCTTCTGCATAGCCGAAGAAACTATCATCAGAGTGAACAGGCAACCTACAGAATGGGAGAGACTTTTTGCAATCTATCCATCTGACAAAGGGCTAATATCCAGAATCTACAAAGAACTCAAACAAATTTACAAGAAAAAAACGAACAACCCCATCAAAAATTGGGTGAAGGATATGAACAGACACTTCTCAAAAGAAGACATTTATGTGGCCAACAAACATACGAAAACAAGCTTATCATTACTGGTCATTAGAGAAATGCAAATCAAAACCACAATGAGAGAGCATCTTGCACATTTTAGAATGGTCATCATTAAAACGTCAGGAAACAACATGCTGGAGAGGATGTGGAGAAATAGGAAAGCTTTTACACTGTTGGTGGGAGTGTAAATTAGTTCAACCATTGTGGAAGATAGTGTGGTGACTCCTCAAGGATCTAGAACCAGAAATACCATTTGACCCAGTGATCCCATTACTGGGTATATACCCAAAGGATTATACATCATTCTACTATAAAGACACATGCACATGTATGTTTTTTGCAGCAATATTTACAATAGCAAAGACTTGGAACCAACCCAAATGCCCATCAATGATAGACTGGATAAAGAAAATGTGGCACATATACACCATGGAATACTACGCAGCCATAAAAAAGAATGAGTTCATGTCCTTTGCAGGGACATGGAGGAAGCTGGAAACCATCATTCTCAGCAAACTAACACAGGAACAGAAAACCAAACACCGCATGTTCTCACTCATAAGTGGTAGTTGAACAATGAGTACACATGGATACAGGGAGCAGAACATCACACACCGGGGCCTGTTCAGGAGTGGGGGGCAAGAGGAGGGATAGCATTAGTAGAAATACCTAATGTAGATCACGTGTTGGTGGGTGCAGCAAGCCACCATGGCACACGTATACCTATGTAACAAACCTGCACATTCTGGACATGTATCCCAGAACCTAAAGTATAATAAAATGCGTACACACATACATACATACATAAATCAGCAGTACTTGGGGATTTTATACAATTGGCAAATGAATTGCTGACTCAGGTAGCATTAAGAATGTAGTTCTGGAATCTCCATAAACACACTCATGTCATGTTCCTTTCACCACTCAGAGCCACTGAACTGCTGCTGCTTGGCCATGACAAACTGTTGGTGGCTGCTGTTCTATGGCTTGACGGACTTAGTTACCTAAGACTAAACATAAATATTTGTCTTCCAAATGAGTTCATGAAAATCATTTGAAGGAGTGAAGTCCAATCCCAGAACTCCTTGCTTTCTTTAAAAAACCCATTCATATATATTTTATGTTCCATTTATTCTTAATACCCTCAGGCCCCAAATCAGTGAGATGATGTATGTTTTCAACATGCCAATTTCAAAATGATTTTACTCAAACCCAAAAGATACTATCATACACAAATTTTCCAATGTTGCAAACGTCTTAATATTTTAATATCTAATATCTTGACTTCATCTTTCACAGTCTTAAGATGCTTTCACAGAGAAGAAGAGAAAACATCTGAATGAATGGGCTCCTGAGAAGAAAGAGATATTGTCCACTGTGACATCACATTATAAAGTGATATGGAAATGTAGTCAATTTATTATGTATCATATAATTATTATTTAAGGTCTTGGCATCTTGCAGGCATGGAATTCACAGCACAGAGCAGATTGCCTAGATACAGAAAGAAGAGTCCACATTGATGCTAATAACACTTTGGATAACCTCCTGACTTACTTCCTAGACCTTATTAGCTCTAGCAATCTCCACTTTTCTCCTTCTACTCATTATTAAGTTTCCACTTCTCTGACAGCAGAGCACCACCACCCAAATTTCAGAGTGAATATTTCCACCTTTCCATGTTTCTCACTCTTTGTGAACTTGTTCTTCACCTCCTTTGTTCTGTCTAGTCTATTAATCTTCATTACAATCCTATACACATGTACCTTCTATCCTGTATGAACCCCAAAATAGACAGTTTCAATATCTCTTCCTTGGTCTCCCAGATTTGCTCACCCCTTTCACCTACATTGTGAATTGCCTCTTCTTGGGTAAGCACAGAATTTAGTTGTCTCTGACAGAAAACAAAAGCCTTAGATTCATTTTTATAGAAAGTATTGGTAACCATGTGGATGTATCCTGTCACAAATTCATCCTTTCTAACTTCATTGGCTAACAGTAACATAATAACTGAATGATGACTAACATTATACAGTTGGCATTTCAACTGTATGATGTTTAGAACTAGAAAAAAGAAAAGCAAACTTTGGGAGAATGTAGCAAAAAGAAAAAAAAAACATGTTTCCTTGTACTCTCCTAGAGTCCTCTGGAGGAGTGAAGGAATTGAAAAGCTTTTCTCAAAATGTGAGTTTCAGATTGGTAGCAACATGTTAATTATACTCTGTTACTAATCACAGAATGTTGGATTGAAAAATCCATGTTCACTCATGTGCTGTTTATTTTTTATTAAGTATTATATTGACTGGTTAAAATATGTTTGATCTACTAGCCATCTAAAATAACCCCTTCTTATTTACATTTAATCTTTCTATCTTTATTGTATATCTCTAACGAAGTTCTTAAAAGGATCCCAGCAGCTTACTCCTGCTCAATCAAAGCCACAGTTCACCTTTTTAAGACCTGTGCAATTACTTTAGTACAAAGCAGAAGACGACATGCATTGGCTCTATGTTCAAATTAACTGCCCTTTTTAGACAAATCCCCCAAATCCTTGACTTTTCAGACTTTCGGTCATCTCAATCTGTGTTATTGGCACTTAACTGATTGAACCTGTTGTAGTTGTATCTCACTGGACTGAGATTTCTGTTAAATCAGCCTTCTAGGATCTCTCCCCTACTAACTTCTCACAACAGATCATGTCACATTGTCATAATCATAGGGCTTAGAAATTTCCGATTTACTCATTACCATATAGAACAATGGTTAAGTGTCCACGATCTCAGGTTAGATGGCATGTATTTAAATTCAAGCTCGAAGGGACAGATGTCAGCAAATAGGACTGTCTAGCACTTGTGCCCCTACGAAAGCACCAATAGGAACAATTATCATGTACAAATATATCTTCAGAAATGACAGGTGATAGATTATAGCGCCTTAGTATATCAAAGAAATAAGAAAAGTCACATTGATGAGAGTAGGAATAATAGCTTCACGTTACCCTCATTACCTCTCTACCAACTTGAGGTAGCACAGTATGGAAAGAGATACCCTCCATATGGGGGAAGGGGAAGGAAGTAAGCAATGGTCCTAGCTTTGGACCCCAACACTGAGAATTCCCCAGTAAAACCCAGTGCTAGGCAGAACCCCAGGGCCCCAGACTCTACACAGGTGCCTGTGTCTGAGCCTCCAGCCACCTCAGCTCGAGGCCAGATCCTGTAGCTTCAGGTTCTAGGCATACTAGATGGAGTCTGTCTCAGAGCCACCCCACTGCCAGCCTGAACCCAGTGGCCCCAGGCTCTGGACTATTCTCAGCACTGAGGTGGCCCTCATGGCCCCATGCTTCAGACCTGCCCTAGCACCAAGTCAGCAGCCCAACTTCAAATACAAGGTAGACACTCAGAGACATAGATTCCATGCCTTCCCAGTGCCAGGCTGGTCTCTGTGGCCCAACCCTCCAGACTGGCACCTGTGGCACTATGTTCTAGCAACCCAGGGATTAGGCCTGATCCAGCAGACCCAGCATCCAGGCCGGTCCCAGTAGATCACAATTCTGGACTGGCATGTGTGTACCCAGGTCCCTGGCCATCCCCCACAGGGCAAGCCTTCACAGACCTAGCCTCTAGGCTAGCACCTGCACAAGTCTCCAGACCAGCATCAGTGGACATAGGATCCAGGCTAACACCCACAGTCATACTCTCCAGGGCAGCCCCCATAGACACAGGCTCCATGCCAGCCCCAGCATCAGGTCATACCCAGGCTCCAGAAGACACAGGTCTAGGCCTGTTCCAGCAAACCCGAGGTCAGAACCACTCCAGGAAACTGCTTTGTCAGGTTGAATCCTATGAACTGAGACTGCATGAACACCCCTGAAAACCTAGACTCCAGTCTAGCCCTTATGGACTCAAGACCCACATGTACTATTGCAGACTTAGGGTACAGACACACCCCACTGCCAGGCCAGCAGTTGAGGACTAAAGTTAAGGGTTCACCCCCATGTCATATCAGCCCCTGTGGGCCCAGACTTCAGGCCAGCCTCCACACATACTGGGTTTTGGGCCATTCTCATGCTCTCAGGCTTTAGTCCCATCTCTACAGATGCAATTAACAGGTCCACCCCAATGAATCCAGGATTCAGGACCAACACTGCAGACCCAGGTGCCAGGCCTTCCCACCTGCTGACCAAGGCAGCAGGCCAGGCTGCACAATGACTCCAGCAGCAAGCCTACCTCCAGACATGCAGGCAGCTTGCTCAGAATCTCTGGATGGGCCGACTGGCAGAGGGCTGTCCCAGACAAAGCCAGTTTATAAAGACTAAAATAATTGCCCATGTTTTCGAAAGAGCAGGCATCAATGTAAGGAGAAAAGAAAAAGATGTACAAAGCTCATTTAAAGATATAATAGCAGAAAATTCTCCAAATTTGGAGAAATATATAAATATCCCACTAAAGAAAGACCAAAGGTTTCCAAACAGGTTCAATGTAAACAAGACGACACAAAGAAATATTATAATCAAACTGTCAAAAATCAAAGGAAAGAATCATGAAAGCAGCAAGGGAAAAGGACATAACATATAAGGAAGTTCAAGGTTAGCAGCAGATTTATAAGCAGAAAACTTATAGGCCAGGAGAGAGTGAGATGATACATTAAAAGTGCTAAATAAAAAAAAAAAAAACTGCCAACCAAGAAAACTGTATCTGTCAAAGATGTCCTCCAGAATGAAGGAGAAATGAAGAATTAACCAGACAAACAGAAACTGAGAGAGTTCATCACAATCAGGCCATTATTACAAGAAATGCTAAAGGGACTTCTACACACTGAAAGAACCTGATGCAAATTAGTAACACAAAAAAGCATGAAAATATAAAACTCACTGGAAAAAGAAAGTAGATGGTCAAATTTAATATACCATTATAATACTATAATGGTGGCATATAAATGACCACCATTATTCTTTAGTATGAAAGTTAAAAAATGAAACTATTAAAAATAAAAATAGCTATTATAATTTGTTAAGGGATACTATATCAGACAGGGTTCTCTGGAAGGACAGAACTAATAGGATATATATATATATATATATATATATATATATATATATATATATATATATATATATATGAAAGGGAGTTTATTAAGGAGACTTGACTCACACGATCACAAGGTGAAGTACCACAATAGGCCATCTGCAAGTTCAGGAGCAAGGAAGCCCGTAATGGCTCTGTCTGAGTCCCAAAACCTCTAAAGTAGAGAAGCCAACAATACAGCCTTCATTCTGTGGTTGAAGGCCCAAGAACCCCTGCAAACCACCAGTGTATGTCCAAGGGTCCAAAAGCCAAATAACATGGGTCTGATGCTTGAGGGCAGGAAGCATTCAGTATGAGAGAAAGATGAAGACCAGAAGATTCAGCAATTCAGGTTCTTCCACCTCCTTCTGCCTGCTTTTTCTAGCCATGCTGACAGCAGGTTGAATGGTGCCAACCCACATTGTGGGTGGGTCTTCCTGGGGAGGAGGGCAGACTTCCTCTCCCAGTCCACTGCCTCAAATGTTAATCTCTTCTGGCAACACCCATAAACACCCAGATACACCCAGAAACAATACTTCGTATCCTTCAACTCAATCAAGTTGACACTTAATATTAATCATCACAGATACACAATATACAAAGATATAAATTGTGATATCAAACTTCAAAAAATTTTTTATTATTATACTTCAAGTTCTGGGGTACATGTACAGAACATGCAGGTTTGTTACATAGGTATCCATGTGCCATGATAGTTTGCTGCACCAATCAACACGTCATCTACATTAGGTATTTCTCCTAATGCTATCCCTCCCCTAGCCCCCGACCCCCCAACAGGCCCAGGTGTGAGATGTTCCCCTCCCTGTGTCCATGTGTTCTCATTGTTCAAGTCCCACTTATGAGTGAGAACATGCAGTGTTTGGTTTTCTGTTCCTGTGTCAGTTGGCTGAGAATGATGGTTTCCAGCTTCCTCCATGTCCCTGCAAAGGACATGAACTCATCATTTTTATGGCTGCACAGTATTCCATGGTGTGTATGTGCCACATTTTCTTTATCCAGTCTATCATTGATGGGCATTTGGTTTGGTTCCGAGTCTTTGTTATTGTGAATAGTGCCACAATAAACATATATATGCATGTGTCTTTATAGTAGAACGATTTATAATCCTTTGAGTATATACCCAGTAATGGGATTGCTGGGTCAAATGGTATTTCTGGTTCTAGATCCTTGAGGAATCGCCACACTGTATTCCAAAATGGTTGAACTAATTTACACTCCCACCGAGAGTCAAGACCCATCGATGTGCTGTATTCAGGAGACCCACCTCATGTGCAAAGACACACATAGGCTCAAAATAAAGGGATGGAGGAATATTTACCAAGCAAATGGAAAGCAAAAGAAAAGCAGGGGTTGCAATCCTAGTCTCTGATAAAACAGACTTTAAACCAAAAAAGATGAAAAGACACAAAGATGGGCTTTACAAAATGGTAAAGGGATCAATGCAACAAGAAGAGCTAACTATCCTAAATATATATGCACCCAATACAGGAGCACTCAGATTCATAAAGCAAGTTTTTAGAGACCTACAAAGAGATTTAGACTCCCACACGATAATAGCAGGAGAGTTTAACACCCTACTGTCAATATTAGACAGATCAATGAGACAGAAAATTAACAAGGACATTCAGGGCTTGAACTCAGCTCTGGACCAAGAGGACCTAATTGACATCTACAGAACTCTCCACCTCAAATCCACATAATATACATTCTTCTCAGCACCACATTGCACTTATTCTAAAATTGACCACCTAATTGGAAGTAAAACACTCCTCAGCAAATGCAAAATAACATAAACCATAACATACAGTTTCTCAGACCACAGTGCAATCAAATTAGAACTCAGGATTAAGAAACTCACTCAAAACCGCACAACTACATGGAAACTAAAAAACCTGCTCCTGAATGACTACTGGGTAAATAACGAAATTAAGGCAGAAATAAAGAAGTTTTTTGAAACCAATGAGAACAAAGACACAACGTACCAGAATCTCTGGGACACATTTAAAGCAGTGTCTAGAGAGAAGTTTATAGCACTAAATGCCCACATGAGAATGCAGGAAAGATGTGAAATCGACACCCTAACATCACAATTAAAAGAACTAGAGAAAAAAGAGCAAATTCACAAGCTAGAAGAAGACAAGAAATAACTAAGATCAGAGCAGAATTGAAGGAGATAGAGAAATGAAACACCCTTCAAAAAATCAGTGAATCCAGGAGCTGTTCTTTGAAAAGATCAACAAAATAGATAGACCTCTAGCCAGACTAATAAAGGAGAAAACAGAGAAAAACCAAATAGATGCAATAAAAAGTGATAAAGGGGATATCACTACCGATCCCACAGAAATACAAACTACCATCAGAGAATACTATAAACACCTCTATGCAAATAAACTAGAAACTCTAGAAGAAATGGATAAATTCCTGGACACACACACCCTCCCAAGTCTAAACCAGGAAGAAGTCGAATCCCTTAATAGACCAATAACAAGTTCTGAAATTGAGGCAGTAATTAATAACCTACCAACCAAAAAAAGTCCAGGACCAGACGGATTCACAGCTGAATTCTACCAGAGGTACAAAGAGGAGCTGATACCAATCCTTCTGAAACTATTCCAAAGAATAGAAAAAGAGGGAATCCTCCCTAATTCATTTCATGAGGCCAGCATCATCCTGATACCAAAACCTGGCAGAGACACAACAAAAACAGAAAATTTCAGGCCACTATCCCTGATGAACATCGATGCCAAAATCCTCAATAAAATACTGGCAAACTGAATCCTCAGCACATCAAAAAACTTACCCAGCACAATCAAGTCGGCTTCATCCCTGGGATGCAAGGCTGGTTAAACTTACACAAATTAATAAATGTAATCCATCACATAAGCAGAACCAATGACAAAAACCACATGATTATCTCAATAGATGCAGAAAAGGCTTTCAGTAAAATTCAATACCGCTTCATGCTAAAAACACTCAATAAACTAGGTGTTGATGGAACATATCTCAAAATAATAAGAGCTATTTATAGCAAACATTTTTAATGTGTGAGAAAGTAAAAGTGTAAAGTTTTTGTATGCAATTAAAGTTAAGTTGTTATCAGATTAAAATATCCTTTTTTAGCAGGGAGCAACTCACTCTCACCAAGAGCCTCTGCAATCCTGACAGAAGGATAAATTATGACCACCATGGACACTTGAGTTGGCAGAGAGAGCTGCTTAGAGAAGGGGCGGGGCGGAACTCCAGCCAGTGTGAGCCCAGAGGGTTTGTTGCGGGAATGTCTGTAATGGAGTATAGGCAGGGACACCCATTTCCCTAGGCTCAACTTGCTGCCATAGGAGACTTTAGTCCTAGGGGAACTGACAGATCTCAACTCCACACGGTGGCCATGCTCATGAGATGGGGCTGGTCTGACTTGAGCACCCCTCAGTCTGCTGGCCTCTCCCAGGAGTCCTAGCCAGGCCATACCTGCTTGCTGTGCAGTCTCAGGTGCCCAGGGGAGGAGGACCTCCTGGGGTCCCACATCATAGCTCCTGTGCTGGTAGAATGCACCTCACAGACAGAGAGCTCCAACAGAGCAGCACCTGAGGACACACACCAGCCAGTCAGCACTTCCTGCACTGCAGCCTCCCCTGTGGCAATTTGCCTGTATGCACTTGCCCACAACCACCCCCAAATATCTTTGCCAGTGCACGTGTGTCCAAAAGGACCTGGCCTTCCCTTCCCTGCAAGCACATGTGTGCATGTGCACTCCGCTGTGCCACTGCTGCCAGTGTTAGTGCATTCTGCTCCCCACCCCCACTGCACTGTTATCGCTGTAGGAGCATTCTTGGGCATGGAATCCACCAGCCTCACCCTCGCCAGCACCTAACCCCTGTGCCAACACTGCCACTAGTGTAAAACTAGGCATGGAGACCAGCGGACCCACCCTCACCCTGAGCAACCACAGCCACAGCCACCCGTGTGATAGTGAACAGAGGGCGCACACAGCCCTGAGCCCACCAGAACCCTGCCCTCATGCTAACACCACCACAGGCGCAAATGCTCACACAGACACTAGTAGGGGGCACCACGCCCTGCTGTGCCATGCTAACACCAACCACTACTGTGAAAATCTGCACAGAGGCCAGTATCCTGCTGCACTGTCACTGGCATGAGCAAACAAAAACTGGTACTGCTGCCACCTCCCTACTAAGTGCTTTGGGTGGCACTACCCATTGGAGTGTTGTGACCAGCAGCCTGGGAGCACCTCAGCCCCTCTAGCACAGCTTCCCAACTTTGAGGGGCCAGAGAAGAAATCCAGGATTGGTAACATTCACCCAGGGTTAGGGCATGCAGCCCAGGATTCCTGAGTTGAGCCTCACCCCACAACTAAAATCTTTCGGAAATAAAGCCAGTTGACTGAACCCACATTATACCACTACCAAACTCCCAAGGGAATCAAATAGGATAAAGGAATAGAACAAAAACAAAAGGACAGCAACTTTAAAGACTGAAGGAACATCAGTCCACAAAGATGAGAAAGTACCAGTACAAGAACTCTAACAACTCGAAAAGTCAGAGTGCCTTCTATTCTCCAAACAACAACACTAGTTCTATAGGAAGGGTTCTTAACTGAGCTGAGATGCCTGAAATGACAGAAGTATAATTCAAATTATATACTGGACCAAATGGACCTGAGAGAGGTTTATGAAGATCTCCACCCCAAAACAACGAATATACATTATTCTCATTGCTACATGGTACATGCTCTAAAATCAACCACACAATCAGAGATAAAGCAATCCTCAGCAAATAAAAAAGAACTGAAATCATACCAAACACTCTCTTGGATGACAAACAATAAAAATAGAAATCCAGACTGAGAAAATTGCTGAAAACCTTACAATTAAATGGAAATTCAACAAGCATCTCATGAAACACTTTTGGGTAAATAATGAAATTAGGGCAGAAATTAAGAAGTTCTGTGAAACGAATGAGAACAAAGACACAACATAGCAGAATCTCTGAGACACAGCTAAGGCAGTGCTACGAAGGAAATATATTGCACTAAACACCCACATTAAAACATTAGAAAGATCTCAAATTAACAACCTAACATTACAACTGAAAGGAACAAGAGCAAAACAACCCCAAAGCTAGCAGAAGACAAGAAATAACCAGAATCAGAGCTGAACTGAAGGAGATTGAGAGACAGAAAACCATTAAAAAGATCAAAGAAGCCAGGAGCTGAATATTTGAAAAAAAATATGATAGGCTGCTACCTAGATTAATAAAGAAAAGATAGAAAATCCAAATAAACATGATTAGAAAAGACAAAAAGGATGTTACCACTGACTCCATAGAAATATGTTAATACAAATCATCATCAGATACTAGTTAGAACACCTCTATGTACACAAACTAGAAAATCTAGAAGAAATACACTCTCCCAAGACTGAACCAAGAAGAAATTGAATCCCTGAACACACCAAAAATGAGCAACAAGATTGAATCACTAATAAATATCCTACCAACCCCACAAAGCCCAGGACCAGATGGATTCATAGCCAATTCTACCAGATGTATGATGAAGAGATTGTACCATTCTTATGGAAACTATTCTGAAAAACTGAGTGGAAGGAATTCCTCCCCAACTCATTCTATGAGACCAGCATCATCGTGATACCAAAACCTGGCAGAGACACAATAAAGAAAGAAAACTTCAGGCCAATATCCTTGATGAACTTTTATGCTAAATCCTCAACAAAATACCGCAAACCAAACACAGCCGCACATCAAAAAGCACCACCATGATCAAGCAGGCTTTATCCCTGGGATTCAAGATTGTTACAACATATGTAAATCAATAAATGTGATTTATCACCTAAATAGAACAAAAGACAAAAAACATGTGATCATCTTAATAGAGGCAGAAAGGGCTTTCAACAAAATTCAAAATGTCTTCATGTTAAAGACTCTCAGAGAACTAGGCATTCAAGGAACAAACCTCAAAATAATAAGAGCCATCTATGACAAAACCATAGCCAACATCAGACTGAATGGTCAAAAGCTGGAAGCATTATCCTTGAGAACTGGCACAAGACAAGAATGCCCTCTCTCATCACTCTTATTCAATTGTAGTATTATAAGTTCTGTCCAGAGCAATCAGGCAAGAGAAAGAAATAAAAGTCATCCAAATAGGAAGACAGGAAGTCAAACTATCCCAGTTTAGAGATGACATGATTCTATATGTAAAAACCCCTTAGCCTTGGACCAAAAGTTCCTTAAGCTGATAAACAACTTCAGCAAAGTTTCAGGATACAAAATCAATGTACATAAATTACTAGCATTCCTACACACCAACAATAGCCAAGCTCAGAGCCAAATCAGGAATAAAATCCAATTCACAATTCCACAAAAAGAATAAAATACCTACAAATACAGCAAACAGTGGATGTGAAAGATCTCCACTCTGTGAATTACAAAACACTGCTCAAAGATATCAGGGGTGACAAAACCATGGAAAAACATTTGATGCTCATGGATAGGAAGAATAAATATTGTTAAAATGGCCATACTGCCCAAAGCAATTTACAGAATCTATGTTATTCCTAAAAGTACATTTATAAAACTATAAAAAAAATTTTAAAGTTCATATGGAACCACAAAAGAGCCCAATTAGCCAAAGCAATCCTAAGCAAAAGAAACAAAGCTGGAAATATCATGTTACCTTACTTCAAACTATACTCCAGGGCTACAGTAACTAAAAGAACATGGTACTGGTACAAACACAGACACACAGAACAAAGGAACAGAATAGAGAGCCCAGAAATAATGCTGCAAACCTACATACATCTGATCTTCCACAAAGCAGACAAAACAAACAATGAGGAAACAACACCCTATTTAATAAATGGTGCTGGGATAACGGGCTAGACCTATGCCGATGATTGACACTGGACCCGTTCCTTATGCTATATAAAAAAGAAATAATGCTGCAAACTTACATACATCTGATCTTCCACAAAGCAGACGAAACAAACAATGAGGAAAAACACCCTATTTAATAAACGGTGCTGGGATAACTGGCTAACAATATGCAGATGATTGACACTGAACCCATTCCTCACACACACACACACACACACACACACACACACACACACACACAAAATTCCTTACACTGTACACTATACTAAAAAACCCACAAGATGGATTAAAGACTTAAAGGAAATCCCCAAACTATAAAAACCCTGCAAGACAACCTATGCAATACCAGTCTGGAATTAGAAACTGGCAAAGATGTCATGATAAAGACACCAATACCAATTGCAACAAAAACAAATACTGATAAATCAGATCTTATTAGACTAAAGAGTTTCTTCACAGCAAAGGAAACTCTCAATAGAATAAACAGGCAACCTACGGAATACAAGAAAATATTTGCAAACTATGCATCTGGCAAAAGTGTAATATCTAGCATCTGCAAGGAACTTAAGCAAATTTACAAGAAAAAAATTAAACAACCCCATTAAAAATGGGCAAAGGACAAGAACAGACACTTTTCAAAAGAAGACATAAATGCAGCCAACAAGTACATACAAAGGAGCTCAATATCACTGATCATTACAGAAATGCAAATCAAAGCCATAATGAGATACTACCTCACACCGGTCAGAATGGCTATTACTAGAAAGTCAAAAAGTAACAGATGCTGGTGAAATTGTGGAGAAAAGGGAATGCTTATACACTGTTAGTGAGAGCATAAATGAGTTCAACCATTGTGGAAAGTAGTGTGGCGCTTCCTCAAAGAGCTGAAGACTGAACTACCATTCAACCCAGCTATCCCATTACTGGGTATATACCCAAAGGAATATAAATCGTTCTAACGTAAAGATGCATGCACGTAAATGTTGACTGCAGAACTATCTACAATAGGAAAGACATGGAATCAACCTAAATGTCTATCAACGGATGACTAGATAAAGAAAATATGCTAAATATACATCATGGTATACTATGCAGCCATAAAAAAGAATGAGATAATGTCCTTTGAAGGAACATGGATGGAGCTTGAGGCCATTATACTTTCACTTAGTGAGGGCTAAAGGATGAGAACACATGGACACCAAGAGGGGCACAACAAACACTGGGACCTACTTGAAGGCAGAGTGTGGGAAGAGGGAGAAGATCAGAAAAAATAACTACTGGGTACTAGTCTTAGTACTTTGGTGATGAAATAATCTGTACAACAAACTCCCATGACACAAGTTTGCCTATATAACAAACTTGCACATGTACCCCTGTACTTATAATAAAACTTTTTTTAATGTAGCCTTTTAAAACTATAAGATGTTTCTTGTAAGCCTTGTGGTAACCACAAAGCAAAGACAGCAATAGAGGAAGAAAAGAATGAAGTGTCTACAAATCAGCCAGAAAACAATAAACAAATGACAACAGTAAGTCCTCACATACTGATAATTACCTTGATTGTAAATGAGATTAAATTCTCCAATCAAAAGGCATAGAGTGGCTGAATGGCCAACAAAAATTACCGAGTCACACACTGCCTACAAGATACTAACTTCTCTTGTAAGGACTCACATAGAATAAAAGTGAAGGGATGGAAAAATATATTCATGTAAATAAAAACCAAAAGACAAAAACAGCTACATATATGTATAAAAAAATAGTTTTAAGTAAAAAACTCCCTCCAGAGAGAAAGAAGGTCATTCGTGATAAAGGGGTAAATTCATCAAGGGGCTATACCAATTGTAAATGTATATGCACCCAACATCAGACCACCTAAATATATAAAACAAATATTAGTAGATATGAAGAGAGAGATAGACTGTAATACAATAACAGTAGGAGAATTCAATATCCACTTTCAGCAATGGACAAATCTTTAAGAAAGAAAATAAATACCAAACACTGGACACATGCTACACCTTAGACCAAATGGACCTAGCAGATATACACAATGCAGTACATCCAATAGATGTACTGCATTGTGCAGAATACACATTCTTCTCAAGCACATAGAGAATACCTCCAGAATAAATAAAATGTTAAGCCATAAAGAAGTCTTAGCAAATTTAAGAAGGTGGAAATGGCATTAAATATCTTTTCTGACAATGGCATGAGTGTAGAAATAAATAACAATAGGAATTTTAGAAAATTCATAAATACATGGAAATTACACAGCATGCACCTGAACCACCAATGGAGAAACAGAGAAATTATAAATCAAATTTTAAAATGTCTTGAGATAAATTTCGCCTCTGCCACTTACTAGTTTTGAGACATGAGGAATTAATATAATTTCTCTGAGTTCACTGTCATCATCTGTAAAATGGGTATAACAATAGCACCACATTTTATGTTGCTGTGAGGCAGAAATGAGGTAATTTATATAAATGACTTAAGCTGGTGCCTTATACATGGCAAGCTCTCAATAACTGTGAGCTATTTTCATTAGTGAAAGCAAGTCATGATACTGTAAAAGACTTTAACTAGTACCTGTATTTTTTTCTGGTATAAAAAGCTGACATTTAGGAAGCCCTATTTTTTTTTTTAGATTACCTTTACCAATAGATTTCTTGCAGATTCATATCCACAGTAGAAATAACTTATTTCTAGTTTTGAAAACATATTTTTAAACCAGTCCCTTAGAAGACTCCTGTGTGATCCACACGAGGAAAACATACTTCCAAGTGCATTCTTTGTCTCAGGGCAAAAATATCATAAAATATGTAAACCAATTTGTAATCTCCTTATTTGCCAAAATCTCATCTATTACATTGTGTTGAGTTATTGCTCAAAATCTCCCTCTCCCTTAGGTAACATCCCCTCATTATCAGGAATAGGTAGTTCCTTCATACATTATTTCCATATTATAAATTACTCAGATAATTGTCATTACGATGATGCTTTAGATTTGTTTAGAGTCCACTGTTTTGATACGAAGAGTAACTGGCCTACGTTCTTCCACAAACCTTGTAAAAATTATTTCATTACTGTTTGTGAAAGTTCATTGAATGATTGTGTAGCATTATCTCTTTAATAAACATTGAATGGAAAATTATAAATGAAAACACTTCCTAAATTCACTCTTGATTTAATTGTTCATTAAAATAACCTCATATTGGATGTGTGTTTTACTCTTAAAAAATTGGCAAACTGCTAATACATCTCACTTAACTGGGCCAAGTCCATGTCTCATTTAACTTTGACTCCCTAGCACCAACTCATTTATTAAGAACAAATGTTTGTTGAATCGAATTAAACAGCCAAACAGCAGACAAATGAAAGTTGTGGTTAGTAAGATAGGCCAGACTCAAACGCTGCTCTTGTGAAAAAGCATTTTTAATCACCTTGTTATTTTCTAGGATAAAATAATCATTTATAAAAATGATTACATATTTTCCATATTTAGAAAATAATAGTTCTGTATTATGTTAATGTCTGCCTGGGAATAAAATAAGTACCTTATCAAATTCATTGGAATTATAAGAATATAAGTATACCCAAAAGTAGCTGTGAGGATACATTTAAATTAAAACAGCTACAAGAGTTTATGGTTAGGTGTTGCTTCATGTTCAATATTGTTTGGGAAAAATGCAGTTTCAATTTATAGAATTACAACATGTATTTTAGGGCTGGAGAGAAGCTTAACATGTCCTTTACTGAACCTAGAGAGGAATGCACTGCAACAGGATGTCCATTCAAAATTGAATAGTGACATAGAAAATGCTGATGATCTCTACTGGAGGAAAGAGGTGGACTATAAGATGCTGCACATTACTTGTATATTTATTTAACATTCCAGGACTTTATTATTAAAATACTGTAAGCCATATGTGCCTTTTTTTTTTCGCATAGCTCAGTGCCAGAATTTTGAGGAATTTCAGCATGCTTTGGTGAGAAAAGAAACAGGTATTTGTTTTCCAAAAGAGTTAAGGCACTGACTGCTTTTGTCCAAAGGATGTATTACTGACCAAAAATGAGCAATCTTGGAAAATCAAAAGGAAGAACTTTCCTGCTGATAAGATGAATATATAGGTAGAGAAAGGAAGGAGTATAAGCTATGTGGGAGCACTAAACCACCTCTCAACTTTAAGTATTAGATAAATATCAATGTCATCATTCTCAGAAACCATTCATTTAAAAATGAAAATTAGAGGATAACAGAAAAGAAATATAGTGTTAGGAGTAATCCATCAGGAAACAAAATGGTTCTGGGTGTTATCTACACACACTCATGCTGAGGGGCTTGAATTCCACTTTTTGCTTTGAAATTTACTGTGCTGGAATTTTCACAGCAAAAGCAAGTTTTGCATAATGACTTCTCAGTGAAAGAGCCGTTAAGCTGCCGGGTATATGCTTCTGGAATAACACGCCATGAGATTCTTTGATGTTGTTTACGGAGTTATTTTCTTTGGAGTATTGTTCTGTAAAATTTGGTAGAAAAAGCATCTCATGATTAGGAAGTTGGGAAAATGCTGAATATTTTATCCTCCTGTTGTAAATTCACAAAATATATTTTTATATTGAAGACTGAAAATTCCTAGAGTAAAAAATATAAACTGAAAACAAAGCAAAAAAATTTGCTAATTTAATAAACACAAATATGTTCTGCATATATATAATTTATATTTATATATAATATAAATATATATTAATAAATATTGATACATATTTATATATACAAAATATATAATTATGTATTATATATAAATACAAATATATTTAAAATATTGCCACAAATCCACTTTTTCACTGAACACCTATTGCTATTTTGTGTGATATGATGATAGGGAACAGAGTCTAATAAAACTGGTTTAAGGCCAGGCGCAGTGGCTAGTGCCTATAATGCTAGCATTTTGGGAGGTCGAGGCAGGAGGACCTCTTGAGCCAAGGAGTTTGAGACTAGCCTGGGCAACATGAGAAAACCACATCTCTACATATAATACACAGATTAGCCAAGTGTGATGGTGTGGGCCGGTAGTCCCAGGTACTCAGGAGGCTGAGGTGGGGCTGTAGTGAATAGTGATGGTGCCACTGCACTCCACCCTGGGTGGCAGGGTGAGACCTTGTCTCAAAAAAAAAAAAAAAAAAAAAAAGGAAAAGCTGGTTTAAGGAATTAAAACCCCATAAATTATGATAGAAACACATTTCCAGGTGATAAGGAGTGGCTGTGATAGCAGCATTCACTTCTATTTTCATGGAGACAATTTTTTCTATTTTTTCCTTTTCATTTTTCATGCTTTTTCCTTTCAGCATACTCTATTAGGAATAAAGTGAAAAATGTCATTTGCTACCCCAGAGGAGCCATTCACTTCACTATAAATAATTACAATAGAACCCGATAAAGGTGTATTGATAATGAGATTTATTAGCTAAGTTTCTCTTGGTAGCAAGCAAAGAAAACCAAATCGAAGTTAGATATATGAAACCTGAGCACAGAAATAAAACCAGGCTCAAAAAAGATCTAGAAAGCAGATGTATCATTTTCAATAACACAGTCACTGAACTGCTTTGAACAAAGGTGGCCTTCCTAAGCAAAAATTCAGAATCTTGTCTGGAGATTCAAAATGAAGCCCGCTGCTGGTAGAATGAATGCATATAAATAAATACATAAGAAATACATATAAACAAAATTTAAATCTATGCATATATAAGTATACTCGAATATCGTTCCTTCAACATTGATTTGTTCAACGTTGTTTCATTATAACGTTGATGAGGAAAAAAATCAATTTCCAGAGGGGCCACTGTCTGTGTGGAGTTTGCACGTTTTCCCCATGTCTGTATGCGTTTTCTCCGTGTACTCCCATTTCCTCCCACATCCTAAAGTTGTGCATGTTAGGTGAGTTGGGGTGTCTACATTGTCCCAGTGTAAGAGTGTGTGTGTGTGTGTGTGTGTGTGTGTGTGTGTGTGTGAGAGAGAGAGAGAGAGAGAGAGAGAGAGAGAGAGAGAGACCTGCTATGAGATGGCATCCTGGCCAGGACTGATTCCGGCCTTGCTCCCTGAGCTTCCCAGGTATGCACCAGCCACTCTCCCCCTGAACTGGAATACATGGATAAATAATTATTTTACTTGTTTCTATCAATCTTTTAAATGTACTTATAATTCAAATTTATTTCCATGTTTAATACTGGAAGTAATTTGGTCTTTCTTTACAAGTTTGGTGATGTTTTGTGATGGGAAATATGCCACAAAACTTAATTCTTGTTTATATCAATTAGCCTAGGGTAAAATGGGTTTCCTTACCAGTTCTTCTGTGTAAAGTTGCAGTTTCCAAAAACCTATCAACAACATTAACTGAGGACTTACTATAATATATATGTATATGTAACGACTTTATTGGAAGAAATAGTACAGATGCCCAGCAATGGTGACTATAGGGATTTACTACGAAGTCTATGGAGAAACCAGCCCATTCCCATTAAGTCACTGTCACTCAGCGTGAGTTTGTCAGAGAGTACTCTGTCATGCCATCTTCCAGGATCCCCAGCTTGCTACCTAGAATCAACAAATGTTAACATTTTCATATTTAAGAAACAAAAGTTTTCATGTCAAGATGAAGACCTCTTTGTGTATTTTAATCCCTGCCCAATCTCATTCCCCTCACTTCTTCCCCAGAGGTGGGGATGAATTCCGGACCGTGTTTCACACTTTACGATGCCCAAGCACCCCCAGACACCAGGGCCCAAGACTGCCCATCCCACCCCATCCCACTCCATATATCCACGTAGTTTATAAAGGGAAGACTAATGTGCTTTCCAGGGCCCCATGGAATACCTTCCTCCTCCAACCTTGGAGATCCTGAGCTGCATGCAGATGGGGCAGGGCTGGGTGGAGAGACTGCTGGATATCAACTTTAAACTTGTGTGAGGATGTGCCTTTATTCCTAAATAGTGAGAGTTTTGCAGGCACGCATCAACTGGACACCTTTATTGCTTTGAAAACCAGATAACTGTATTGCCAACAATGGTAAAACTGAAAGGAAAAAACTGAAGAGAACGTTCTGGAAGGGCAACATGCCCACCCTGTCTGGCGGCCCAACCCGGTGAAGGCACCCCGTGGCTGTGGGGCCCATCTGGGCTCAGGGCTCCTCCCCACTGCGGCCCAGGGTGAGCTTGTCACACAGGTACTCTGCCAGGCCGGTTTCCCGTGGCCCACATCTTGCGCAGGTTGCTCAGGTAGCCACTCAGCTCTTTGATGGCCTTGACCTGCTGGTTCAGGAAGTGGCTCTCCAGGAAGTCGCACAGCTGGGGGTCACCCTTCTCCATGGCCAGGTAGTGCAGCTCCAGGAGGCTGTAGTTGACACTCTCCTCCAGGTGGAAGGCACACTCCATGGCCTGGAGCCCACTCTCCCAGTATTCACGCTCTGGTTTCCAGATGTCAGGAAGGCAGATGCGGCCACCGCGCAGGTTCTGCAGCATTATCAGCTTCTGGGCGTGCTCCCTCTTCTCTTGCGACTGGCTCAGGAAGCAGCGGCTGAAACGCTCCAGGGTCACGTCGTCCCGGTCTAAGTAGAAGGCCATGGACAGGTACACACAGGAGGCGTGGAGCTCCAGGTTGACGTGGCTGTTGACGGCGGCGTCGCAGTCGGGGTGGTAGTTTTGGCGCACTTGCCATAGCGGGGCGGTCAGCGGTCGCTGGCAGTCGCTGAGTCTGTGACAGGACCGGAAGTGGGCAGTGGAACCGCTTCTGGGGGGTGGGTCGCGCTCCGCAGGGGCCGAGATATGTTCCATGTAGGACTTCAGTTGATTCAATGAAGCCCACCCACATTAGGGAGGGCTATCATCTTTACTCAGTCTGATTTAAATGCTAATCTCATCCTAATTCATCCTCAAAGGCACAGCCAGAATAGTGTTTGACCAAGTATTTGGGCACTCTGAGACCCAGTGAAGTTGAAACATAAAATTAACTCACAGTATTATTCATGATAAGTCCAGAGTGAACAGATACAATTTCTAGTATTATAATCTGTGAAAACTCTTTGTTTGGACTTTCACTTATCTTCATCATTTAAAAAACAGTTACACAATTGATAAGACAAAACACGTTCTGGCTCAGTGTCAGTGATTAGCTCTCATCTACGCATTCAATACATTTCTACTGAGTACCTATTAGTTACCAGATATTTTTACAGATACTAATATAAAAACTTGTTCTAAATATTCCTCGTACTTTCTTTTTTTTGTAGCTGAGCAATATTCAACGTTCTGCATCATCCCTTCTTGTGGTGCAAGTTTTCTTTTGAATGCGTCTATAGTAATACACGCAGTAGACGCCATGATGTACTCATAAGGAAGTGGACCATAAGTAGTTGGTGGCTTATCTCTTTCTCTTTCTCTCTCTGTGTGTGTGTGTGTGTGTGTGTGTGTGTGTGTGTGTATGTGTGTGCATATATTTACATATCTGTGTATATATGCATATGAATAAACAAAATCACTTTTTAATGAGAGTAGTGAAAGTGGTGCATCAATCCAAAACCAGTATTACCTGTCTCTGGGCTGTTCACTCTATATTAATTATTTCATTATCACAGAAACATTCTGAATTAATTTTTATTATTATCACCCATATCTTACAGATAAATAAATTGTGAATTAGAGCATTTGTAACATACTAAAACACACTTTTTAAAATTTTACTGGTATGAACACTTAACATGAGACCTACTCTAACATATTTTTTAGTGCACAGTAGAGTATGATAGACAGTAGAGTATGATAGTTGCAATGATGTGCTGCAGATTTTAAGAGTTCATTTTTTTTCTTTTTTCTTTGTTTCCCTCCCTTTGGTTTTTTGTTTGTTTGTTTCATTTTCTTCGTTTTTTGTTTTTGAGACAGAGTCTCACTCTGTTGCCCAGGCTGGAGTGCAGTGGCCCCATCTTGGCTCACTGCACCCTCCACCTCCCCAGGTTCAAGTGATTCTCGTGCCTCAGCCTCCCGAGTAGCTGGGTACCACCACACTGGTAAAGTTTATTCATCTTGATCAATGGAAACCTTGTAACCATGGATTAGTAACTCCCGTTGCCTTCTCCCCCAGCCCTTGGCAACCATCATTCTATTCCTTGATTCTATGAATTTGACTATTTTTGATACCCCATATAAGTGGAATCATGCAGTGTTTATCTTTTTCATTACTGGTTTATGTCGCTTAGCAATCCGTTGCAATCATTTGGCATAATGTCTTCCAGGTTCATCTATATGTGGAATTTTTTCTTTTTAAAGGCTGAATGGTAATTTATTGTATGTATATCCCACGTTTTCTTTTTCCGTGCCTCTGTTGATGGACATTTAGATTGTTTCCACATCTTTTGAGCTCACAACTTGTAAATAGCAGACAGTGACACTCTTAGTTGTATTCCTCCCTACGTAGTTTGGAAAGTTTTGCAGGACCATGAACTCCTCTAGGACAAAGACTGTGTGTAATTGGCTCAATGATCAATTCCACATAGTAAGGGTTCAAAAATATTATTTAAAGGATTGATCAGCCTGTTAAAAGTTTTAGTCTTATTATTTCTCCAAATTTAAACAATGAGTGGCAGTGGACGTTGATTATTTATTTAAACAGTGTTTCCTTTGGAAGAAAAAAGAATCAGTGACACTCAATGTTGAGAAATTCTTATAATTTTAATATTCACTGAGATAAAACTAGTATAAAAATGTGTATGCTTAAAGGTATGTTTTTATACCTGTAAAATAAACAATTTATAAGTATTAGAAATAAAACTGTAAAAGTAAAAACTAAGAAATTTCTATTGTATTTCACATTGTGTTTTTTGTCTTAAACACAATCACTTCTCGCTGAGAATAGACCTAGTTTCTGTGGTGCAAGTTTTCTTTTGAATGTGCCATGCCTATATACCCTGATATACTTGGAGTATCTTCATTCTTGAGCACTCTTTTTTACTGAAATGTTTGACACACCTTATTTTACATAATGATTCATAATGTAATTTTTCTTTCAGGAAATGTAAGCCATCCTTTAAATATTGTCCAGTCAAGTTCTTTTTTATGAAGTTGTGAAACGTAAAGTGATACTTTATTCTGATGAAGTTTGATTTCTTTCATAAATTACAATAAAGAGTCTCGAGAACTTCAATAACTGAAGGTGCTGCAGTTTCCTTCTGTTAATATATTATTCCTTTCCTAATCATCACTTTGCAGCTGGTAAAATAAGCCAACATGACCATATGGGTGAACATGAGACAACTTCATTTTTACACTAAGAAATGCCATCTGGCAGCAATCTCACTTAGCAGGATTGAAAACACACATCCAAATAAGAACACTGAATTTTTGTGGCTGTATTGAACTGTAAAGAGATCGAGATAATCCTGAAAATGCTTAGAGTAATTTTTCATTTAGATGTAACACAAGAAAAGATCTATGGGATTATCAAATACAGATATAGCATACTGAATTTTAATGGCATGAACACATCTGGTATTCAATAATTATTTTTTGAGGACTTAATGTATCTTAGTCTTTGTGCTAAATGCCAAATGATTGCAACAGACATTGGCTTTAATCTCATGGGCCCAGGAGCCTGTTTTGGTTCATTTTCTTTGCCAATAGAATATATATATATATATATATATATATATATATATATGACAGATATATATATTTATGTATGACAGATATATATATGACAGATATATATATATGACAGATATATATATATGACAGATATATATATGACATATATATGACAGATATATATATGACAGATATATATGTCAGATATATATATGACAGATATATATATATGACAGATATATATATATATATATATATATATATATATATATATATATATATACACATCTGACAAAAGCAATAGGGAAAGGATTCCCTATTTAATAAATGGTGCTGGGAAACCTGGCTACCCATACGCAAAAAACAGAAACTGGACCCCTTCCTTACACTTTACACAAAAATCAACTCAAGATGGATTAAAGACTTAAACATAAAATCTAAAACCATAAAAACCCTAGAATAAAAGCTAGGCAATACCATTCAGGACATAGGCATGGGCAAAGACTTCATGACTAAAACACCAAAAGCAATTGCTACAAAACCCAAAATTGACAAATGGGATCTAAATAACTAGAGAGCTTCTGCACAGCAAAAGAAATTATCACCAGAGTGAACAGGCAACCTACAGAATGGGAGAACATTTTTGCAATCAATCCATCTGACAAAGGGCTAATATCCAGAATTTATAAGGAACTTAAACAAATTTACAAGATAAAAACAACCCCATCGAAAAGTGGGCGAAGGATATGAACAGACACTTCTCAAAAGAAGACATTTATGCGGCCACCAAACATGAAAACAAGCTCATTATCACTGGTCATTAGAGAAATGCAAATCAAAACCACAATGAGATACCATCTCACGCCAGTTAGAATGGCGATCATTAAAAAGTCTGGAAACAACAGATGATGGCGAGGATGTGGAGAAATAAGAATGCTTTTACACTGCTGGTGGGAGTGTAAACTAGTTCAAACATTGTGGAAGACAGTGTGGTGATTCCTCAAGGATCTAGAACCAGAAATACCATTTGACACAGCAATCCCATTACTGGGTACATACCCAAAGGAATGTAAATAATTCTACTATAAAGACACATGCACATGTATGTTTATTGCAGCACTAGTTATGATAGCAAATACTTGGAACCAACCCAAATACCCATCAATGATAGACTGGATAAAGAAAATGTGGCACATATACATCATGGAACGCTATGCAGCCATAAAAAAGAATGAATTCATGTCCTTTGCAGGGGTATGGATGAAGATGGAAACCACTATCCTCAGCAAACTAACACAGGAACAGAAAACCAAACACTGCGTGTTCTCACTCATAAGTGGGAGTTGAACAATGAGAACACATGGACACAGGGAGGGGAACATCACACAACAGGGCCTGTCAGAGGGTAGGGGGAAAGGTGAGGGAGAGCATTAGGACAAATACCCAATGCATGCATAGCTTAAAACCTAGATGATGGGTTGATAGGTGCAGCAAACCACCGTGGCACATGTATACGTATGTAACAAACCTGCACGTTCAGCACATGTATTCCAGAACTTAAAGCAAATAAATAAAATTTAAAAAAAAGAAAATATATATGTCCATTGTCTCTCTCTCTCTCTCTCTCTCTCTCTCTCTCTCTCTCTCTCTCTCTCTCTATATATATATATATATATATATATAACTGATCCTATATATAGGATGAATAAATATGTTAGTTGCTAATAAATTGATAATCTATAAAATATGTGCTAATATATTTACTTTAAATTATTAAAATATATTCAATAATATTTTCTTTGCTATTTTTACTTCTATTGTCACAAACACAGAAATTGCTACAGAAGTTCTTATATCTTCTCCTACATATAGTGGTAAATTTTATGGAAAAATAGATTTGATGTAATTATGTTACTTAGCCTAAAGACCCGGAATATCTTGGTTGAAAGTATACATATTTTGCTTCACCAAAATCCAGTGTAAATTTTTCCTAACATGCTAGGAGAAAAGCATAATCCTTGCAAAACCTTTCCCTATGATTCCATAAGCTACTACGATATTAACCCAGTATGTTAAGAGAGTAAGTTATGTTTAATGTGATCATTATTTTTATAAGTTGACATGAGTAATGGCCTCTGAGTTTTTAATTTTCTGAACTTTTCTTCCACATTCTCAATGGTTTATTTGTTGACTTCACCTTTCATAAAAATATGATAAGGACTTTAACCAACTAATGTTAAAACTCAGTGAAACGCACAATTTACAAAAGTAAAAGTTTTGTAAAATGTTTCCTATGTATTATTTACATTTATTACCTTCCTTCTGAGCTTTTCATTCTTCAATTCTTGTTCATACATGAAAAATAAACAATATGATTTTGACTTGGTTTCTTGGAGTCTTTTGCCATTTTCCCAGTACGTCTTTTAATATTCAAGGACAGTTACATCTATTTAGGGAGTTTCAAATTTCTAGAAAGTATATTACTTTTAGTAGATTCCTGCCAATATGATTGTAAATCTCATTTATTTTAATATGAATTAATATGATACACTTTAGGTAGAAATATTATTAACATTTCACTTTTGCTTATGTGTACGGTGCTATTCAGTTATGCTTTCTTACATGACAAACAATCCATGAGGAAAGGCTTATTCATAATCTGCTAAGTGCTGGAGGCAGTAGGACTCCAGTCTCATTAGTAATCTTATCTATTGATTTTCTCCTGCCAGGAAAGAGGTGATTCTTGAAACGAATGGCAGTAATACAAATTTATACAGCATATGTATACTCAAGCAGTAATATGAATTTATACAGCATAGGTATACTCAAAGAGGAATTTGTGTGCAAAGACAAAGCCTAGCATTTCTTTATATAACCTAAGTTGAAGATGCATTGTAAAGGAACTGGTGGTTTGAGAAGGAAGGTGAGGCAAACGCAGACAATTTGAATGGGAAGAGGCTGTTGAAACTGAAAATTGAGAAGGGAACTATGAAAAATAATTCTTAAAAGGCAACCCTCTTCACTTTGACTGCCTGCAGGTATGGCAAATTCCTTGGCTTGGGGTGAAAGAGGAAAGCTGTGCTGAGAGCAGCTACTGGTAGCAGGGCATATGATTGTGCAGGGCATATGTACATGCAGGTGTTGCAACATTGCTTAGCATTCCTCAGACCTTAAATCACTGTCAAGGACTAAAAACTGCAATGATGACTGGAAATATCTGTTTCACATCCAAAATAATCTATTTAGAATTGCTTCCTTAGTTCACCAGGTCTCTATCAAATATCAGTGCTTTTAGTTCCTTCCAAATCATCACTCTGGCCTGTAATCCAATGTATCCCTGAATTATGCTATAGAGAAAAATGCAATTTCCTCCATGTGGGTCTCCTTCCTTAAGTTTTTCTTCCCCACATTAAACATCTCTAACATTTAGAAAAAGACAATAGTTTCTAAATGAATCCAGGTGCACAACTGTCCAAATCATGAAAATAACTTCCTAAATCCTTATTCATTGATAAATATGTTGATCAAATCAGTGTAAGTATTTCAGTTGATCAGTTTGTCTACAGAGATTGCAGCTACAAAATGAAAAATCACGTTCAGCTTATTCATTTGTTATAAATGTAAAAGGAGCAAAGGAAAGGATCAGAGGTAGCGAATATCTCTGGTTTTGCATAGAATATTGTGATTCCTATACCTTCTAAGAGGTAGAACATAAAAGGAAAGTCCACTTCCTTTTTTCCCGGAGACACCGGTTTTTAGACTATGGGGCTGATTTTCCTAGCCATGCTATTAAATATAATTGGTTAGATTACATTCTAAATTAAGCCAGTTCATTGGAGTAAACCTCTGTACAGGACACTTGGCATTATAAGGCTGTTACATAGCTGGCTGATGTAGCATACCCTTCAGACTCTTTGAAGGAGTACTGTTGTGTCAGATGAGCACAAAGGTAATAATATAATAGAACTATTTTTATAAAATCACAACTCAACACTTTGTTACAGGTTCAATAATATCTTAGAAAACTGTGGTGTGTTCACACGTGTATTGTGTACATACATTTGCCTATACATATTAGGCTTTGATCACTAACGTTAAAACTAGCTAAACTTTGGACCTTTATGTGAATTGTGGTATGAATATATGTGTGTATATGCATGTTATTTTTAAGAGCTGTGGTTTTAACATAGAATTAACAGCCCGTATTTCAAAATTGCGGTTAAAATTGTAACAATCTGTCTGTAAATAATACTAATATTGCATATTTTTGCCTGCTCGTCACACGTTGGACATTAGCCAGGTAAAGTGGACACTACTGAGAACATGGCTTTTAGCTGGTCATGTGTGTATGTGTACAATACTCTGTAAATTTTGAATTCTGTAAAAGACGCAAATGTTGCATTCGAAGCCAAAGAATAAGATTAAGACAGCACTCGTGGACAACCAAGATTATTGATTATTCTACATTATTCACACCCATGATATGAAGCGATTCTGGATTTTTTTTTTTTGCTAGCTACTAGGAAATAAGCTAAGATTTATGACAGCTTGTTGAATGCATCTACCAAAATTCCATCAATAGGAAAGTGAGACCAGTGTTTTTTGATTAAATCAGAGGATATGACACAGTAACATTTACCTGTCCTCAAAGTTTTATTACTTTAACCATAAACAAAATTGCGAAGATTTTAGCCATTTGTTGTCCTCTAATTATATACTAGATAATTTCATTTGTAGCTGAACCACCTTATAAAACAGAGCTGCGTCTGCTCGATTATTTTCTAAATATTACATTCTATTTATATTTGTGAATTGAATGGACCAGGTGATACATATGCATGCAAGGAGACAGGAATACTGTCATATTTTTGTATAATTGATCTATACAAGGAAATAGAGTGAATCTTCTAGAAATATAAAAATACTAGCCTGACATTGTTCATTTTTACTTTTTGAGAACTTGTGTAATTCATTTGTTCTCTTTTCGCCTCAAGTTCTTTATTAATATCAGTAGAGCTGGACTATATCCTGTCTGAGATACTGTGATCAAATTACTATGTATCCAGGGATTTCAGCCCTTGACTGTGAATCATTATCAATGGGAGGAATTTTGATTCAGCAAGCTCAGGGCAGAGCCTTGGCATATATACTTTTAAGATGTGCCACAAGTGATTCTGATAATTCAGCCAAGGTATGGAATAATTCTTCTATGCATTTTTATTCAAAGAACAAAATGGAAATCTTTAAGTCTATTATTTCTTAGGCCTTAACTATATTTTATACCTTGCTGAGAAAAACTATCAGTGGGTGTAGCAGTGGTAAAATTGCTGCAGTGTGTCTCATTATAAGACAAGTACATTGTTACTGGTAGAAAAATGATCAAAATGAATAGTGTATTCATCAGATTTCTCCAGAAAGATAAGAAAATAATAGGAGTTATACATATCTCCTATTATTTTACATATATGTAGAGAGAGCGAGCGAGCGGAGGGTGACATATAGGATAATAGGAAATAGTTGAATACATAGAATATAGAAATAATAGGATATATATATTATATATATCCTATATATTATATATAAATATATAATATATAATATATATCCTATATATTATATATAAATATCTAATATATAATATATATCCTATTATTTCCTATTATATAATATATATATCCTATTATGCATTATATATTATATATCCTATTACATATATTATATAATAGGAAATATATCCTATTATTTCTATATTCTATATATTCAACTATTTCCTATTATCCTATATATAAATATATATAATATATATAATTTATATATTATATATATATATACATAGAGAGAGAGAGAGAGAGAGGGAAATTTAAAGGAATTCATTCACGTGACTGCGGGGGTTGGCAAATCCGAAGTCTGTAGAGCTGGTTGTGGGTTAGAAATTCAGGCAAAAGTTGATGTTGCAGTCCTGATTCCGATGGCTGGAAACTCAAACAGATTCCTGTGTTTCAGTCTGGAGGGAGAATTCCATCTTCTTTGGAGAATTTTGTGTTTTTCCTGAAAGCCTTCAACTGATTGGATGATGCTCACGCCTCCTATGGAGGGTAAATCTGATTTACTCAAAATCTACTATATAAAATGTTAAATCACATCCAAAAAATACCTTCACAGCAACATCTAGACTGTTTGACCAAATATTTGGGCACCATAGCCTAGCCATGTTGACACAGAAAATCAACCATCACAGAAAGCAAACTTAGCAAGAGCTAATGAAAACAAAAGAATTCCAAAGACGGTTGGATCAGAGTGAACAAGATTGGGTATCTGAGAAAGGCTGGCAGGTGCCGCGTGTGGGTGGAAGAGACAGCAAGGTTGCAGATAACTGGAGTCTGCTGGAGCATGAAAATGGTGTCCTGAGTTAAGTATGCAGTAAAGGTTGTAGGTAACTAAGAGCAGTCAGAGGCACACAAAGATGTCAGAACTGGGAATACTTAGGCTCCATTAAACCAATGCACTTCATCGCATTGATTTTCATTGTTTGTTCTCATTCCCTTGTTTGCTTATTCATTACATGCTGCTCCACTCAGAGCATTTTGACTTGCTTGAACATTTCTTTATTAGCTTGTTGGTGTTGGTTTTGCTTGTCAGCTACACTATTCATTTCTGGAGTAACACTTCATACTAAGGCAGTTGGTGCTTCTTGACTGAACAGGCCAGTTGTAATTTCTCTGCACTCTACAGTGATGTCAGTTTTCTTCAACTCAAGAAGGGCAGTTTGCACGAGTAAGTTGCTTTCACTCCTAGTTTTTTTTTTTTTTTTTCACTGTCAGTCACCAAACTTTGTATCTTCTTTACTCTTCTATCATGACTTCATTAACCTGTGGGCCCACCAGGTATGTGCATGTTACCTAAGGGAATTATTCCGTTCTCAGGCTCCATCTAGTATATGCAGAAATTTCATTTTCCCCAAATTTGGTTACTTTGGATGATACCATTACTACTGTGGTTTTTAATCTCTTTGAAAGTCTTTGGGACCTATAAAAGGCAAAGGGCTTTAGAAAAGTAACTCTTACATATTGGTGTGTATAATTTAAAGACCATGTGAAATGTAGATTACTGGCTCCACTTAGAAAAAAAATATGATTTACTGTATATGCGGGGGGGACAACAAGTATGCATTTTAAAGAAGCTACAGCTTTCTCTCTTGTATGATTAATAGTGATTTGTTGATAATTCATCATGATGCAATCTATTGTTTAAAATGGAAACCTTTTATTTTAGAATAATTTCAGATTTATGAAACATTTGCAAAGGCTGTACAAAGCATTTTCATGCACATTTCACTCAGCTTCCCCTAAAATTAATATCTTACATTGTACATGCATTTAAACTAAAAAATTAACATTGAAATATTACTATTAACTAAACTTCAGACTTAATTCAGATTTGGAGATTTTTTACGCCCATGTCCTTTTTCAGTGCCAGGATCCAACCCAGCCTGCCACATTGAATTTAGTTTTCCTGTCTCTTTAATCTAAAGTCTATGACCGGTTCTCAGTCTTTACTTGTTTCCCATGACCTTTATGGTTTTGAGGAGTACTTGAGAACTTTGTAAAATGTCCCTGGACTTGAGTTTGTTAGATGTTTTCTCCTCATTAGACTAGGATTCCGGAATTTAGGGGAGAATACTACAGAAGTGAAGTGTCTTTCTCATCACATCCTATCAGAGAAGTGCATGATACCAATGCGACCTCTCACTGCTGATATTAACATTGATCACTTGCTTAAGGAGAGAACCGCCAGGCTTCTCCACTAAAAGGTCACTATTTTTTCCCATTCCATATTTTACTGTTTAGAATCCAGCTCACACCCTGGGGAGGACAATTAACTTCCACCTCCTGAAGGGAGGAGTATCCCTGTACATTTTCTGAAATTCTTTGTAAAAATATTTGTACCTTTTTCCTCATTTATTTATTTGTACAATTATTTATATCAGTATGGACTCATGGATATTTTATTTTATATTGTGTTATAATTTTTAAATTTTAATTCATTTTGTTGCCTAAATTGTTTTAACTTTGGCCATTGAGTGCCCTTTCAGTTTGGCTCCTGATCTGCTTCTATTCTTTTGTTTTCTGAGAACTTCCATATTTTCTGGCATTACATAATACTCCAGGCTAATCTTGTGTTTTCACTGCCCCAGGCCTAGAATTACTCATTTCTCCAAGGATATCTCTGTTTTGTTTTGCTTTTGTTATTTTAGAGAATGGTATTTAGAAACCAAGATTTGGGCACTGGATGTACTTGTTACTTGGGTGTCATTTTTTTCTAGTTTCTCAGCAGAGACAGAGCTATAAAACATAAGCATGTATACTAACCAATATGTACACACATCTATAATTATTTCTTTAGCTATATACCTCTATATGTTAAACTACTGTGTATTATACATTTTTTGTTTTCTGTTCTTTGTTTTCTTATTAAGTTTTAAGAATTATTTATGTATTCTAGATGTGAGTCCCTTGTATAATATTCTACTGTGAAAAGTGAAAAAAATGAAGTGGCTTTAAGGAACAAAAACTGTTTTAATGAACAGTCACATGAAAAATTTTATATAGGCGCAATTGAACTTTAGGAGATTAAATACATGTTTTTTTCTGGGATTATTTGGAATATAGAAGACTTTTTCAAACTCTCATGCATTTTAGATAAGTGAGTACTCACATGAGCTTGCTAGTTAGAGTATTGTTATAGAGAATTGTTGAAGCATTGGCTCTTGAATGTAACATACAGTCCATGGAATTTTTCTATTAAACTAAAGAGCTTCTGCACAGCAAAAGAAACTACCATCAGAGTGAACAGGCAACCTACAGAATGGGAGAAAATGTTTGCAATCTACTCATCTGACAAAGGGCTAATATCCAGAATCTACAAAGAACTCAAACAAATTTATAAGAAAAAAACAAACAACCCCATCAAAAAGTGGGCAAAGGATAGGAACAGACACTTCTCAAAGGAAGACATTTATGCAGCCAAAAGACACATGAAAAAATGCTCATCATCACTGGCCATCAGAGAAATGCAAATCAAAACCACAATGAGATACCATCTCACACCAGGTAGAATGGCGATCATTCAAAAGTCAGGAAACAACAGGTGCTGGAGAGGATGTGGAGAAATAGGAACACTTTTACATTGTTGGTGGGACTGTAAACTAGTTCAACCATTGTGGAAGACAGTGTGGTGATTCCTCAAGGATCTAGAACTAGAAATACCATTTGACCCAGCCATCTCATTGCTGGGTATATACCCAAAGGATTATAAATCATGCTGCTATAAAGACACATGCACACGTATGTTCATTGCGGCACTATTCACAATACCAAAGACTTGGAACCAACCCAAATGTCCATCAAAGATAGACTGGATTAAGAAAATGTGGCACATATACACCATAGAATACTATGCAGTCATAACAAAGGATGAGTTAATGTCCTTTGTAGGGACATGGATGAAGCTGGAAACCATCATTCTCAGCAAACTATCACAAGGACAAAAAACCAAACACCGCATGTTCTCACTCATAGATGGGAACTGAACAATGCAAACACTTGGACACAGGAAGGGAAACATCACACACGGTGGCCTGTCATGGAGTGGGGGGATGGGGGAGGGATAGCATTAGGAGATATACCTAATGTAAATGACGAGTTAATGGGTGCAGCACAGCAACATGGCACATGTATACATATGTAAGAAACCTGCACGTTGTGCACATGTACCCTAGAACTTAAAGTATAATAAAAATAAAAAAGGAAAAAAAAAAAGAAAGTTAAAAATAAATCCATATCAAATTTGGTCTTACCAACATCACATTATGAAATCTACTAAATACCTTGAGACTTTAACATAGATTCTTATAATCAATAAATGAAAATATTTGTGATATGTAAATGTACGATGTTGCTTTTCCTTTATATAGACATCAAATGTAGAATATTTTTATTTTCAAACTGTAGTAATACCATATAAATTAACAAGATTTTAGAGGATGCTTATTCTGTTCCAGACACTATACAAAGTCATGTTATATAGATTATTTTGATTTACACATAATCTAGTTCTTTGATTTAATGAGAAACCTAAGAGGAATATATATTGTGTCTATTTTACAGAGGAGGAGCCAAAACCAAGAGAGGCATTGATCGTACCTCATTTACAAGGAGGAACTAGGGTATACCTGCTTGTAATGGTAGAAAACATTGTTCAGCTGCACCTAACAAGGGAAGTAAGAAACCTTCTTTTAAAAATGAGTAAGAATGTACAGAAAAAATTATTATGTGATGAGAAAATGGTATGCTTAAGGAATAATGCAGGCTGAATTTGTCTATAATTAAAATTTTTTATAAAAATGCTTTTCATAGCGTTGTTTTAAGCACTATAAGAGAGATAAAAATTTAACTGATATTATTTAAAGGAAAATGAAGGGTTGCAACTGGACTGGTGGAGGTATAACGATATTCAGATTGGAAAGGAAGAAGGGAAACTGTCTTTATTCACAGATGACACTATCATATATATAGAAAATTCAATGAAATATACAAAAATGCTTCTGAACATAATGAGTGAATTTTCCAAGGTTGTATGATACCAATGGATATACAAACATCAATATTTATATATGCTAACAACAAAAAATTGGAAATTGCAACTAAAAATACTACATATAATAGTATGAAAAACAATATTTAGGAAAAATCTGGAGAGAAAAAGATGTGAAAGGCACATACACTAAAAAACACACAATATTCCTGAGAAAATGAAAAATCACGTAAACAAATAGAAAGCTGTACATTTCTCAGTGGTCAGATTTCCTATTGTTAACATGCCAATTATCCTCAAATTGATCTATAGATTCAACAAAATCCTAATCAAATTCCCAACAGGACTTTTTTTTTTTTTTGACGTTGACAAACTGACTTTAAAATTTCTATAGAAATTCAAAGGACCTAGGAAAAACTAACTTTGTAAAAGAACATTGTTAAAGGACTAATACAGCCTAATTTCTAGATTTATTATAAAGCTAAAGTAACCAACAGAATGGGAAATTTGTGTGAGAGAAAAATCAATGGAAGAGAAAAGAGTGTCCAGAAATTGACCTTCAAAAAACATACACAACTGATATTCTACCAATTTCCAAATGTAATTCAGCGGAGAAAAATTTAGTCTTTACAAAAATAGTTCTAAAATTATCAGATATATGTAAGCAATAGGTACATTTTTAAATAAAAACTTTGATCTATATCTTGTGCTGTTTACAAAAATTAAAACCTTGACCTTTGGATAGGCCAAGTTTTCATAGATACATCAAAAGAAGCACAATCCATAAAAGAACAAACTGATAAATTGGACTTCATCAAATTAAAAAAACTTCTCTTTGACACTGTTAAGACAATGAAAGGGAAAAGCCAAGGATGAAGTGAAAAATTTGCAAATCATATATCCGATAACCTATTTACATCTAGAACACAGCAAGTATTCTCAAAACTAAATATGATATCCAGAAACACAATTTAAAAATGGGGAAAAAATCCACAGAAACTTCAACCAAGGAGAGATAAGGATGGCAAATAAGCAAATATAGAGATGTTCAATATCAGTAGTCATTAGGAAACGCAAATGAAACCCGGAATGAGATTCCACTACACACCTGTTAGAATCTGGGCTGCGCAGGTGGCGTCAGCGCTGCTCCGCCTCCAGGAAGGAACCTGGGCTGCGCGTGGCTGGCGGTCTCCTAGCGACTAGAGCGGCAGGGATCTGGGACCTCAGAAGCTGGAGACGTGGCACCACAGCGAGGGCCACCATGGGGGACCAGAGGCTGCAGGACTGGCTGAGGTCCCCGGGCATGGACTCCAAGCCCTGGTACTGTAACAAACGGCCTTCCAAGTGCTTCGCGAAGTGCAAGCACAGGCGCCTGAGGTTCCCACCCATGGACACCCAGAACTGGGTATTTGTGAAGGAGGGCATGGACGACTTCCGCTACGGCTGTCCGTCTCCCGAAGATACTCTCGTTTGTCGCCGTGACGAGTTTTTACTCCCCAAAATATCTCTCAGAGGTCCCCAAGCTGACCCCAAAAGCGGGCAGAAAAAGCTGCTCAAGAAAGCGGCCCTATTTTCCAAGCTCTCTCCAGCCCAGCTAGCACGGAAGGCGTTCGTAGAGCAAGTGGAAGCCCAGCTAATGGCCAAGCATCCCTTGGCCATGTACCCCAATCTGGGAGAAGATATGCCTCCAGATCTCCTACTACAGGTGCTGAAACACCTGGATCCTGAGAGGGAGCTGGAGGACGCTTGGGCTTGTTGTGAGACCCAGGAGAAGACAACAGAGGTACCCACTGAGCCTGGTAAACATCCCTGTGGGGAATTCTGCCTGAAGCCTCCCGAGACTCCGGTGTCCCATCTCCTCCCAGAGCCTCCCGAGACTGGAGTGTCCCATCTAAGCCCGGAGCCTCCCAAGACTCCGGTGTCCAGTCTCCGCCCGGAGCCTCCTGAGACTGGAGTGTCCCATCTCCGCCCGGAGCCTCCAGAGACTGGAGTGTCCCATATCCGCCCGGGGCCTCCCATCACTCGTCGGAGATCCAGTCTCCTACGACAGCTGCTGAAACTGGATTCTGAGAGGAAGCTGGAAGACGCACGGGCTCCTTGTGAGGGCCGGGAGAAGACAACTGACGAACCCACAGAGCCTGGTAAATACCCTTGTGGGAAATTCTGTCCTCGGCCTTTCGAGACTCCACTGTCCCATCTCCGCCAGGAGCCTCCCAAGACTCCGGTGTCCAGTCTCCGCCCGGAGCCTCCGGAGACTGGAGAGTCCCATCTCCGCCTAGAGCATTCCAAGACTCGTCGGGGGTCCAGTCTCCGCTCGGAGCCTTCCGAGACTGGAGTGTCCCGTCTCCGCCTAGCGCCTCCCAAGACTCGTCGGGGGTCCAGTCTCCACGCGGAGCCTTCCAAGACTGGAGTGTCCCATCTCAGCCCGGAGCCTCCCAAGACTGAAGTGTCTCATCTCCACCCAGTGCCTCCCAAGACTGGAGTGTGCCATCTCCGCCTGGAACCTCCCGACACTAGTCAGGTGTCCAATCTCCTACTATACATACTGAAAGTGCTGGATTCTGGGAGGACGCTGAAGGACGTATGGGATCGTTGTGAGGCCCGGGTGAAGAAAACTAAGGAACCCACCGAGCCTCATAAATCCCCTTGTGGGGAACCCTGCCTGCAGCCTCCCGAGACTCAGGTGTCCCATCCCCACCCGGAACATCCCAAGACACGTCGGAGGTCCAGTCTCCACTCGCAGCCTCCCAAGACTCGTCGGACGTCCAGTCTCCGCTCGGAGCCTCCCAAGACTCGTCGGACGTCCAGTCTCCGCTCGGAGCCTCCCAAGACTCGTCGGACGTCCAGTCTCGGTCCGGAGCCTCCCAAGACTCGTCGAGTGTCCAGTCTCCGCCCGGAGCTTCCCAAGAGTCGTCGGGTGTCCAGTCTCCACCCGGAGCCTCCCAAAGCTCCAGAGTCCCATCAATTCTCGGAGCCTCCCAAGATTCGAGCATCCTACATAAAAGAACTGCTTCAGGAAGATACACCAAGCACAAAAGAGTGCGTTTCTGACTCTCTTCAATATAGATACACATCGGAAAAACTCCGTGAATTCTTCAAGTGGGCTGGAGACCTGGGAGCTGATGAAGAATCCATCAGGAATCTGTTTGACTTTACCCCCAAGTACAGAGCAACCCATGAGGACCAAAAGTTTAAGAAAGTAAAGGAGTGTTCCTCAGAGCTGAAGTACAGCATGGAGCTAGATGAAAAGGATGAGGACAAATTCTTCTCACAGGAAAAATACTGGGGCAGGAAATTCCACACGCCATCGAATTCTTATACCGCACAGCGTGTGAAGATGAAGTATGGAGCATGGTACCTCAAGCCTAAGTTGTGGAAAAAGCTAAGAAGTGATGAACCTTTGATTGACCCCAAGCTCTTACTTAAAAAGCCTGATGAACCTGACGTTCTTGACGATCTTTATGGACCAATTGCCTTTAAGGATTTCATTCTAAGCAAGGGCTATGAAATGCCTGGCATCATTCAAAGGCTGTTTGCCAGGAGGGGATGGACTTATGACTCTGTTAAGACTCCTATTCAACGTGCAATGATATTTTACAAGTACAAAGAAATCGTAGAGGCATCGGAAGAAGATTAGGCAGTTTTCAATTTACTACTCAATTGGGTATTTCTTGCTCTCATTTTAATCATCAATCATAATTTATGATGACTGGCCCCGTGGATGCACAACTTTGGCAACATCTGTAAATTCAATACCTAATGTTTATCAATATTTCTTAATGAACTGCTTTGGCTTCATTATTTCATATATTTTATCAATTATGTGATTAATATTCACATATACTTTTTCACATTGTTGAAGCATTGTGAATATTACATCATCATGTCAATTATTTGTAAAAATACATAAAACCAGAAATTATTATTATTAGAATTATTCTTTAAAAGAGAAATAGGGTCGGGCACATTTGCTCATGCCTGTAATCCTCCCCGCTTTGGGAGGCCCAGGTGGGTGGATTGCTTGAGCCCAGGAGTTCAAGACCAGCCTGGGAAACATAGTGAAACCTGGTCTCTATAAAAAAATCCAAAAATTAGCCAGGTGTGGTGGCATGTACCTTGTAGTCCCAGCTACCTGGGGGCTGAGGTGGGAGGATAGCTTCAGCCCAGGAGGTGGAGACTGCAATGAGCCGTGATCCTGCCACTGCACTCCAGTCTGGGTGACAGAGCAAGACCCTGTCTCAAAAAAAAAAAAAAAAATGTGCTGAGTAAAAGGAGAATTATATCCTTCTTATATTAAAATTGTAATGAAATAATTATGACAATTATTTTTTTAACCAAAATTGGAGTCCATAGCCAAAATAATGTTAACACTTGTTAATAGTAAAATTGTTATCTTCCCATTTGGGATTCCATCAAACCCCCAAAACAAGTTTGAAAACTACTTATCAAAATCATAGGTGAAACTTGAGTTATGCCATTTTATCATATCTCTCAATAGAATATATGTATTTCACCATGTTCATAAGCCTTCACTACAAAAGACTATTACCAAATCATATAAACAGGTGCAGAATAGGAGGTAGCTTCAATTCCCTGGCAAATCTCATGTGTAAAATAGGATCTGTATGAGAAAAGCTACCAAGCAACATCAAATATCCTTACATATCTGATAAAGTTCAAATAATTTTCATTTCATTCATAGCAATTTAAAATGCACTCATAAGTTTAAAATAATAAATCAAGTAACTTATTTACCTTACAAAAATAACATGTAACACTGGTGGAGGTAAATTTGTATCTAAATATATTTGTAGTGTAGATCTGAAGTGCACTTTTTCTTTCAGTGATGAAAGAGTCCATCTGTAAATGGAAGCACATATGCATATATTTCATCTAAGTAAGGAGTGATATATACATCTGTCTATGTACAAATTCTGTTTCTAGTGAAGTTTGTCTGTGGGCGTTGTGTTCCTGAAGAACGAGGTTTTTTATGTTGTTTTCTAAGGCAAGGCCTAGAATTTCTCTTCAAATTCATCATCATAAACTTAGGTTCATGGTTCATGTCACCACTATGTCTTATTGTATCTGCAACAATTTCCAACCCATGTCTCTTCTTCAGTGCATTTTTGTGAAATACAAGCATGACTTGTTAATTCTCCAGGCTCATCTAAACTTATCTAGTTACATAAACACAAACACATGCACACACACACATGCTCCTGCATTCCCGACTCCAGTCAATATTCCTTTTCTTACCTCTGTGTCTTTCTTGTTTGTAAGGACTTGACTCAGGCCATGTAATCCTGTTTCAGTGTCTCCCCACCAAGGTCAATTTTATGATTACTTTTATTAAGATCTTAAGTCTGTAGACAAGGACACTCATTTTCCAGTTGTCTTCCACTGGAGAACTCACTTCAATACCCTAGAGAAATGAGTCATTAATGCCTTCAAAATAAGGGAAATCTCCATACTTATTTATTCAGACTTCTGAGAGGCCAATGTCATGCCTCATGGCTCAGAGTTATCTGGTTTCTTTCTTTTTTTTTTTTTTTTTTTTTGAGATGGAGTCGTGCTCTTTTGCCCAGGCTGGAGTGCAGTGGCACGATCTCAGCTCACTGTGACCTCCGCCTCCCAGGTTCAAGTGATTCTTCTTCCTCAGCCTCCCGAGCAGCTGGGACTACAGGCACGTGCCACCACTCCTGGATAATTTTTGTATTTTTATTAGCGATGGGATTTCACCATATTGTCCAGGCTGGTCTTGAACTCCTGACCTCGTGATCCAACTGCCTCAGCCTCCCAAAGTACTGGGATTATAGGCGTGAGCCACCGCAACCGGCCAGCCGAGTTATCTGGTTTCTGAGGTTCTCCACTGAAGCCTTGGGCTTCATGCAGCAGCATTCAATGTTAAGGTCCTTTCAGCAAGAGACCCACCTACTTTTCCACATTTGGTTGTATGACCTTGCACTTCACGGAGGATGTATCCTCATCTACACAATGGACACCATATCATCAAACTAAAATTCGGGCAAGACTTAAAGGATTATTATTAAAGTGTCTAATGCCTCAAGCATCACAGAATTGATACTCAACATATATTTGTGGAAAAGGAGGGAGTAGGAAAGAAAGAAAGGTACTAAAAAAATCACAACAGAAAGACACCAATAAAATGACTTTTTGATGGTGTTTGTCTGGTAATAGCCTTCATCTATATTACACACAAACTTAGGCTTTGCTTAAGATGAAAAAGTGGTGCTTGCTTTGGCGGCACATATACTAACATCAAGATGAAAAAGTCTAATTGCAAAATAAGAGCCACTGGTTAGGGCTTCTATTGCTTATTGGCAATGACTTCTTCCAGTGAAATAAACTTTCCTCAGAGAAATTACGTGGGTTTCTCCACACTGTAATTACACACATTGGTATTACTTGTCACACAGATATAAAAAGAAACAATGTTTGATCTATTTGGATTTTTAACACCAGTTGGACTTCTGAAATCATCCTGACTTCAAATCCATAGGTTTTAGAAAGAGATGGAATTCAAGAGAGCTTGGTATATAATTGTCCCTGTGTAGCCTAAAGCTATGAATGGTATATTCCATAAATACTGTAGTAATCGATTGTATTGCAGCATCACATAGGTTTCATAAAAGCTTTGGAGAATTTGTCTGTAGGAACATGTGATTTAACGAAGATGAAGGGAATCATTTTTCATTTCTGAGAGTCTGCATGAATGAGCAAGGCCTTTGGAGCTAGGCAAAAATGAGTTCATATCCCAGTGCTGTCATGTTTTTATCCTGTAGCTTTAGTCAGAGGCAGAACAGACAGGGGGAAAACACAGAGGCTGGGCTGAAGGTGGACGAAGCTAGGAACACTTCCGAGGGCTACTGCACACTGGAACGTGTTCCTGGCCCCCAATGACTCCGACAAAGAGGATGCGTTTAACAGGCAACCCAAGGCAAGGAGCAACCCAAATTCACTGTGGGCCTTTGGAATCTCAGCAGGAGGAGACCCCTCAACTACCATGGACACTTGCATTGTCAGGGAAAGCTACTTAGAGAAGTGGTGGGGGCAGAACTCCAGCCGGGGGCAGAGCACAGAGGGTGTCCTGTGGGAGCAACTGTAGTGGAGCACTCTCAGAGACGTGCATCCCCCTAGGCTAGAATCGCTGCCACAGGAGAATTTAGCCCTAAGGGAACTTTTGGACCTGAACTCTATAGGACAATCTTATCCATGAAGCAGGACCAGTACAACCAGAGCACCTCTCATTCTGTTGGACTCCTGCAGGTCCCCAGCCTGGCCACGGCTGTTTGCAGCACAGTTGCCAGGTGCCTCCTGGGGCTCACATCACAGCTGGTGGACCACACCGGACTGGCAGAGTGCTTCAGCACAGTGATCTCTGCAGACACACAACAGCTCATTTGCACCCATGGTCGCCATCCAAATTGCTATGCCTGTGCATGTATGCCCAGGCAGACCTAGCCTTCCCTTCCCTGCCAGCACACTGGTACTGGAACTCCTGCACCCTGCCTTGACACTGCTGCTAGCGTGAGTGTGCCCCCTCACCCTTCCTCCCACCTCCCACACCGCCATTGTCTTCAGAACATTGGCGGGCTCAGAGCACCCCAGCCCTACCCCTGCCAGCACCCTGCCCCTGAGCCTGGGCCACCAGAGCAAAATTAGGCATGGAAAACAGTAGACTAGCCCCAGCCTTGAGCAGACTGCTGCCAGCATGAACATGCACAGAGGGTGCACACAGTCCTGCACCCACTGATGCCCCACCTCCACACTAAAACCTCCACCTGCAGGGACATGCACACAGTCCCAGTGGGGGCTCCTCACCCCACCAAGCCATACTGCCACCACTGCTGCCGCAAATATCCATATCGAGGCTAGCACCCCAGCACCCATGAGAACCCTGCTGCAGCAAATGGATAAGTGTGCACCCTCCAATGCTGCTGCTGCAGCTGCTGCTGATACATGGGAACAAGGACAGGTCCCACTGTCAAAGCCCTGTAAAGTGCTTTGGCTGGCACTACTCACTGGAATGTTGTGACCAGTGGTCTGGTAGCACCTCAGCCCCTCCAGTACAACAGGTTCCTAACCTCGAGGAGCCAGAGATCAAAGCTGGGGCCTGATACCAGTCTACCTGAGTTACAGCATACAATCCAGGCAGGAGTTCTGAGCTGAGCCTTGGCCCCCGGAAATCTTCCAGTCATGAAGCCAGTTGACCAAATCCACTTTATATCACAATCAATCCCCCAAGGTCATCAAATAGGATGAAAGTAAAAAAAAAAAAAAAAAATAGCCCATCCACAGTACAGAAACTTCAAAGATTTGAAAAACATCAGCCCACAAAGATGAGAAAGAACCAGCGCAAGAAGTCTGACATCTCAAAAAGCCAGAGTGTGTGTGTTTTGTCAAAAATGACAAAAGGGCTGTTACCACAGACCTCACAGAAATACAAATAACCATCAGAGACAATTATGAACACCTCTATGCAAACAAACTAGAAAATGTAAAAGAAATGGATAAATTCCTGGACACATATACTCTCCCAAGACTGAACCAGGAAGAAATTGAATACCCGAAAAAACCAATAATGAGTTCTGTAATTGAGGGAGTAATAAATAGTGTACCAACCAGAAAAATTTCAGGACAACACAGATTCACAGCTGAATTCTACCAGATTAACAAAGAAGAGCTGGTACCATTCCTACTGAAGCTATTCCAAAAAATTGAAAAGGAGGGACTCCTCCCTAACTCATTGTATGAGGCCAGCATCATCCTGATACCAAAACCTTGCAGAGATACAACAACAACAACAACAACAAATTTCAGACAAATATTCTTGATGAACATTGATGTAAAAATCCCCAACAACATACTGGCAAACCGAATCCAGCAGCACATCAAGAAGCTTATCCACCATGTTCAAGTCAGCTTAATCCCTGGGATGCAAGACTGGTTTGACATATGCAAATCAATAAATGTGATTCATCACGTAAACAGAACTAAGGACAAAAACCACATGATTATCTCAATGAATGCAGAAAAGGCTTTTGATAAAATTCAACATCCCTTCATATTAAAAACTGTCAATAAACTAGGTATTGAAGGAACATATCTCAAAATAACATGATCCATATATGTCAAACCCACAGCCAATATCATACTGAACAGGCAAAAGCTGAGAGTATTCCCCTTGAAAACAGGCACAAGACAAAGACGCCCTCTCTCACCACTCCTATTCAACATAGTATTGGAAGTTCTGGCCAGGAATGTCAGGCAAGAGAAAGAAATAAAGGGTATTCAAACAGGAAGAGAGAAAGTCAAACTATCTTTGTTTGCAGATGACATGACCCTATATCTAGAAAACCCCACAGTCTCAAGATACAAAATCAATGAGCAAAAATCGTTAGCCTTCCTATAAACCAACAACAGGCAAGCTGAGAACTAAATCATGAATGAATTACCATTCACAATTACCACAAAATGAATAAACTACCTAGGAATATAGCTGAAAAGGGAGCTAAAGGATCTCTACAAGGCGGTCTACAAACCAATCCTCAAAGAAATAAGAGATGACACAGACAAATGGAAAAACATTCCATACTCATGGAGAGGAAGAATAAATATTATTAAAATGGTCATTCAGCCCAAAGCAATTTATAGATTCAATGCTACTTCCATTAAGCCACCACTGACATTCTTCAAAGAACTAGAAAAAAATACTATTTTAAAATTCATATGTAACCACAGAAGAGCCCAAATAACCAAAGCACTGCTAAGCAAAAAGAATAAATCTGGGCCAGGCGCAGTGACTCATACCTGTAATCCCAGCAATTTGGGAGGCCAAGGCAGGCAGATCACCTGAGATCAGGAGTTCGAGACCAGCCTGGCCAACATGGTGAATCCCAAACTTTACTAAAAATACAAAAATTAGCTGGGCATGGTGGTGGGCAGCTGTAATCCCAGCTACTCGGGAGTTTGAGTCAGGAGAATTGCTTGAACCAAGGAGGTGGAGGTTGCAGTGAGCTGAGATTGAGCCATTGCACTCCAGCCTGGGTGACACGAGTGAAACTCTGTCACAATAAATAAATAAATAAATAAATAAATAAATAAATAATCTGGAGATATCATGCTACCTGACTTCAAACTATACTACAAGGCTACAGTAACCAAAACAGTGTGGTACTGGTACAAGGGCAGACATATAGATCAATGGAACAGAATAGAGAACCCAGAAATAAGAACACACACCTACCAGCATCTGATCTTCAACAAACCTGACAAAAACAAGCGATGGGGAAAGGATTTCCTTTTTAATATATGGTGCTGGGAGAATTGGCTAGCCATATGCAGAATATTGAAACTGGACCCTCTCCTTAAGCCATATACAAAAATGAAGATGGATTAAAGACTTAAATGTAATGTAAAACTATAAAAACCCTAGAAGAAAACCTAGGCAATACCATCAGGACATAGGCACAGGCAAAGATTTCATGACAAAGATGCCAAAAGCAATCGCAATGAAAGCAAAAATTGACAAATGGGATCTAATTAAACTACAAAGCTTCTGCACAGCAAAAGAAACTATCAACAGAATAAACAGAAAACCTACAGAATTTGATAAAATTTTTCAATCAATGCATCTGATAAAGGTCTAATATCCAGCATCTATAAAGAACTAACAAATTCACAAGGAAAAAACAAACAACCCCATTAAAAAGTGGGCAAAGGACATGAACAGACACTTCTCAAAAGAAAACATACATGATGAAACAAGCATATGAAAAAAGCTCTGCATCACTGATCATTAGAGAAATGCAAATCAAAACTGCAATGAGACACCATCTCACACCAGTCAGAATTGCCGAGACCAGCCCAGTCATGGAGATCCTAACCCAGCGGTGCTAGAGGAATTAAAGACACACATACAGAAATATTGAGTGTGGAGTGGGAAATCAGGGGATTCACAGACTTCAGAGCTGAGAGCCTCAAACAGAGATTTACCCACATATTTATTGACAGCAAGCCAGTGATAAGCATTGTTTCTATAGATTATAGATTAACTACAAGTATTCCTTATGGGAAACAAAGGGATGGGCTGAAACAAAGGGATGGGCTCTGGCTAGTTATCTGCAGCAGGAACAAGTCCTTAAGGCACAGATCGCTCATGTTATTGTTTGTGGTTTAGGAATGCCTTTAAGCAGTTTTCCGCCCTGGGTGGGCCAGGTGTTCCTTGCCCTCATTCTGGTAAACCAACGACTTTCAGCGTGGGCGTCATGGCCATCAGGAGCATGTAACAGTGTTGCAGAGATTTTGTTTATGGCCAGTTTGGGGGCCTGTTTACGGCCAGATTTGGCAGCCTGTTGCCAACACAGAATGTCTATTATTAAAAAGTAAAAACATAATAGATGCTGGCAAGATTGTGGAGAAAAAGGAACAGTTTCATGCTGTTGGTAGGAGTGTAAATTAGTTAAAACATTGTGGAAGACAGTGTGGCGGTTTCTCAAAAACCCAGAGAGAGAAATACTATTCAACCCAACAATCCTATTACAGGTTCTATACCCAAAGGAATATAAAGCTTTCTATTATAAAGTCACTTGCACATGTTTGTTCATTGCAGCACTATTCATAATAGCAAAGACATGGAATCAACCTAAATGCCCATCAATAATAGACTGGATAAAGAAAATGTGGTACATATGCAACACAGAATAATATGCAGCCATAAAAAGGAACAAGATCACATCCTTTGCAGGGACATGGATAGAGCTGGAGGCCATCATTTTTAGCAAGCTAACAAAGGAACAGAAAACTGAACACCACATGTTCTTACTTATCAGTGGGAGCTAAATGAAGAGAACACATGGACACAAAGACGGGAACTATAGACACAGGGGCCTACGAGAGGGTGGCGGTTAAAAGTAGGGAGAGTAGCAGAAAAAAAAACATTGGGTACCAGGCTTAGTATCTGGGTGACGAAATAATCTATACATCAAATCCCAGTGACATGAATTTCCCTATATAACAAACCTGCAAATGTACCCCTGAACCTATAATAAAAGTTAAAAAAAAAAAAACAAATCCTAACTGCCAATGTGACAGTAGAAGAGGTAGGGCCTTTGAGAGGTGATTAGCTAATGAGGACAGAGTTCTCACGAATGGGATTAGTGCCCTTATAAAAGACATGTTAGGAAGCAGGTCCTCACCAGACACTGAATCTACCAGTGCCTTGATCTTAGACTTAAGAGTCTGCAGAACTGTGAAAAATAAATCTGTTGTTTATAAGCCACCCAGTCTATGGTATGCTTGTTATAGCAGCCCAAATGAAGTAAGACATTGAGATAAGCATTCCTAAAATTTTATTTTTCCACAATATTTATTATTTATTTATTTATTTATTTTTGGGATGGAGTCTTGCTCTGTCACCCAGGCTGGAGTGCATTGGCACGATCTCGGCTCACTGCAAGTTTTGCCTCCCAGGTTCACGCCATTCTCCTGCCTCAGCCTCCAGAGTAGCTGGGGACTACAGCTACCTGCCACCACGCCTGGCTAATTTTTTGTATTTTTAGTAGAGACGGGGTTTCACCATGTTAGCCAGGATGGTCTCAATCTCCTGATCTCATGATCTGCCTGCCTCGGCCTCCCAAAGTGAATTTTAAAATATTTCATTGCTTATATCACAAAATATTTTCCCATCAGTGGCTCAGCAAATACTTATAAAAATAAATACAGCTTTTTATTACCATTTTCATTTTAGAGATGAGGAGTTGTAACTTAGAGAGATTAAGTGATTTTTTTCAAATGTTTGCTTTTCAAATATCATTTGATTTATGCCATAGAAACCTGAATTTCTGCCATTGTTTCTTATAAGGTGAAAATTACTAGTAGTTCTTACTTTAATGACCTCTAACCCTTTTTTTCACGCCCCTTCAACTCCACGGATCCTGGAAGCTCCTATTTCTTATCAATATCTTATAGATTCTAAGAAATCTGAATAAAATGATAATGATGTAGATTCTCCACCTACATATGGGTTTGACACATTCAATGCTGTTTATATTTTGAACTGACAATGTTAGAAACAGAGGCCATTTTCTCTTAAATAACAGGCTTGCAGTTAAGCTCTACTGCCCTGGGTGAGTAAAAATAAATATTAAATTAAGGCAAATATCAACATAAGCTATTTCCACTAAATTGCATACCAAAGACAATACTTTCATAAAATAGTGTTCTGTAACATCTGTTAGAATTATTTCAATCCTGAAAGTGGAAGATAGTGTTTGATAAATCCACCCTCATTTTAGTTGATGACTTTATTTGGTATGTATTAAAAAACTAAATTTTAAAATGTACTATATTTTAGTTTTTTGACTAGTATACTGTTATTTCTTAAATATAATCTCACTCCGATATTTTAATATAAGCATCTCAAAATTTACCAATATTTGATAACAGATATTTTACAAACAATCTTGAAACATAGTTACTCAAAATGTTGTCAAAACAATACCCATTTAGTCCATAGGAAAGTGGAAAGAAATCACAAAGTAAGCAAAGAATGAAATATGAATCTTCTAATTAATCAAGACACACATAAAATAACTCTAACACCTTTAATTTTTGTTTACTACCTGCAACTGTGTCATCTCTAAAATTCTGGTCATAATTATGAATTGCATACATTGACAACGAATTTAAAAACTTTTATAGTCATATTTTTCATGTAGGTCTCTTTATCTTTTTTTTTTTTTTTTTTACTGAAATTTGGCTTTTCTGTTTCGGCACTAATTCTGTTCTTCCATTTCAGCTCTTAAACGTGATGACTATTTCTCCAGTATCTTCCTAGAAGTATAACTAGAAGAAGGGTAAATGTCTTCTTTGCTTTTCTTTATGACTTCTGAAGCATTCCTTCACCCCTCTCTAAAAGGTTTCAGCTTTGAAGTTCCAATATCTTTATTAGAATATGAAACTTGATGTTGATGTTGCTTTGTCCTTGGGGAATTTTCCAATTCAAAATTAGCGGGCAATAGGCTTAGCAGTGAAGGGAATGTGACAGTTTCTTAATTGAGGATATAGCTTTCATAAGTTTTGCAGAGTTAAGGGAGAAAATGGCAGTTCTGAGACTTCAAATTAGAGGGACCTAGCTAACAACCTAAACTGTTGGTATCTCTAAGGGCTATTCTCTAAGAGTAAGAGAGAACTAGAAATAGCTCAATCTCAACAAGGACTGAAACCCAGTTTCTAATAATAAACTCATTACCACATGATTAAGGTGATCTTCTATTAGCACATCTGGTTGAGGGAAACAAAATGAAACCTCTTAGGAAGAAGTTAACATCAGATGGAGTTTTAAAGTATCTGTACATTTTCCGCACATACTATCCTGAATAAAAAATAACCAGACATAGGAAAAGACACAACTTAAGCAAACATTAATTGTAAGCATGACCATTGCAATTGACCCACAATATAGTCAGGTATTTGAGATATCAGGCAAAAACTAAAATTATCTGGAGTGATATTTCAAAAAACTGAATGGCAAGTTAGACAATTTTAGCAGAGAACTGAAGAAATTAAAAATGGACACTTTAGGACTAAGTATACAATAAGCAATTTTAGGAACTCAGTAAATAGATTTCATAGTACGTTAGACAGCTAAAGAGAAAATTAATGGCCTAGAAGATAAACCAGAAGAAAATATCCACATCCAGCTATTGGGAGAAAAATAGAACAGATAACAGAGAAGTAAGTGTAGGAGACATTTGGGACATGGTGAAAAGTATAAAAATGTATAATTCGAGTTACAGAAGAATAGAAGAGAAAGATGGCACAACAACAATATTTGAAAAACTAATGACTAAGAAACTCTTGAAGCTGGAAAATACCAGTGACAGATTTAGGAAATGCTACAAACCACAAGAATGATAAATATAAGGAAAACCACACCTAAACACATCATATTAAAATTTGTGAAAACCAAACATGAAAATAAATATATACTTTGGTTTGTTTTAAATTTTTTATTCCTAATTTTTGTGGGTACATAGTACGTGTATATATTTTAATATTGATACTTTAATATCAACAGAGAAATAATTTCACTGCCCTAATAATTCCTTGTGCTCCATCTACTCCTCCCTCCCTTAGAACCCTTAAATCTCTGAAAGTTACTGACCTTTTTACTGTCTCCATAGTTCACCCTTTTACAGAATGTCAAATAGTTGGAATCACACAGCATACAGCCTTTTCAGATTGGCTTTTTCCACCTAGTGAAATTAGTTCATCTATGTCTTTCTGTTTTTATCACTGAATAATATCCCACTGAATGGATGTGCCATACATAGTTCATCCATTCACCTATTCAAGGATGTCATGGTCACTTCCAAGTTGTGGAAATTATGAGTATGGCTGCTATAAACATGAGTTTTGTAAGAAAGTTTCAAGCTGTTTTCCAAAGTGGTGTACCATTTTGCATTTTCACCAGCAAAGAATGAGAGTTCTTGTTACTCAACTTCCTTGCCAGCATTAGGTGCTATCAGTGTTTTGGAATTTTCCATTTTAATTGTTATATAGTTGTTTCTTATTGTATCAATCAAGGTTCTTGAGAGTGACAGAGCCAATAGGATATATGTATACATAAAAGGGATTTATTAGGGAGAATTGGCTCACATGATTACAAAGGTGAATTCCCATGATAGGACTTCTGCCAGCTGGGGACTGAGAAAAGCTGATAGTGTGGCTCAGTCCAAGTGTGAAAGCCTCAAAACCAGTGAAGCTGACAGTGCTGCCCTCAGTCTGAGGCCAAAGGCCCAAGAGAACCCAGGAGCCTGTTGGTGCAAGTCCCAGAGTTCAGAGGCCAAAGAACCTGGAGTCCGATTACCAAGGGCATGAAGAGAGAAAGCTAACTTCTGGCAAGGGGAGGGACGGTCAGAGCAAGAGACCTCAGCAAGCTGAATACCTCCCTTCTTCTGCTCCCTTTGTTCTATCTCTGTTGGCAGCCAATTGGATAGTGCTTATCCACACTGAGGCTGGGTCTTCCTTTCCCAGTACTCTGACTCACATGTCAATCTCTGAAAACACCCCTTTGCACAAACCCAGAAACAATGCTTCAGCAGCCATCTAGGCATCCTTCAATCCAATGAAGTTGACACATAATATTAACCATCATAATGTTGTTTTAATTTACAATTCCCTAATTACATATGCTGTTGAGCATGTTTTCATTTGCTTATTTTCCATTTGCAGATCTTCTTTCATGAGGTGTCTGTTTAGATATTTTATCTGTTTTTAATATTGAGATGTTTCTTCTCTTACAGTTGAGTTTCTAGAATTCTTTATGTATTGTGAATACAAATTCTTCATTCTGTGTATGTTTTGAAAATATTTTGTCTCACTGTATGACTCGATTTTCATTCTCTGTAACAGGATGTTTCACAGAAAAACATTATAATTTTAAAGAATTCCAATGTATCTCCTTTTTTCCATAGATTATGCTAATGGTGCTGTATCTAAATAGTCTTGGCCAAACCGAAGGCCACCTATATTTTCTCTTATGTTATCATCTGGGAGTTTTATAGTTTAGCATTTACATTTAGGTCTACAATGCATTTGATGCTATTGCTTGTAAAATGTGCAAGGTCTGTGTCTACATTCATTTTTTTGCATATGAATGTCCAATTATTCTAGCACATTTTGTTGAAAAGAGCATTCTTTCTCCACTGAACTTTCTTGCTCATTTGTCAAATATAAATTGGTTATATTAATGTAGGTCTATTTTTGGACTTTCTATTCTGTTCCATTGATCTATTTTTCTGTTTCTTTACCAATACCACAATATGTTGATTATTGTAACAATATAGTCTTGAAGTCGGGTAGTATTAATCCTCTCATTTTGCTCTCCTTCAATGTTGTGTTGGCTATTTGGGGTCTTTTGCCTTTCCACATAAACTTTAGAATCAGTTTGCTGTAATCCACAAAACAATTTTGAATTTTGATTGGAAATGCATTGAATCTATGGACAATTTTGAAAAAGTTGACATCTTTAATTATTCATCAATGTTTTAGTTTCCCTTTATGTACATCTTATACATATTTTGTTAGATTGTACCTAAGTATTTCATGTTTTTGTTGTCAATATAAATGGCATTGTGTTTCTAATTTCAAATTCCAACTGTTCACTTCTAGTATATAAAAAAGAAAATGGGCCAAGCACGGTGGCTCATGCCTGTAATCCCAGCACTTTGGGAGGCTGAGGCAGGCAGATCATGAGGTCAGAAGATCAAGACCATCCTGGCCAACATGGGGAAACCCTGTCTCTACTAAAAATACAAAAATTAGCTGGGTGTGGTGGCATGTGCCTGTAGTAGTCCCAGCTACTCGGGAGGCCGAGGCAGGAGAATCACTTGAACCCGGGAGGCGGAGGTTGCAGTGTGCCAAGATAGTGCCACCGCACTCCAGCCTGGTGACAAAATAAAATAAAATAAGAAAAAAAAAAAGAAAAAAAGAGAAAGAAAAAGAAAATTGCTTTTGTATACTAACTTTGTAAACTGCAAACTTTCTGTAATCACATATTTGATCCAGAAGATTTTGTTGATTCTTTGAAATTTTCTACATAAGCAATCATCCCAACTAAAAAAAAAAAGAATTTTATTTTTTCCTTTTCAATCTGTATACCTTTACTTCCATTTCTAATTTTATTGCATTAACTAGGACTTCCAGTATGATGTTGATAGGAGCATTAAGAGTGGACTTTCTTACTTTGTTCCTCATCTTAGCATGATCTTGGTTTCTCAACTTTAAATATGACAGCTGTAGACATACAAACTCCAGGGGGACTCAGTTTTAGGACGCATGTTCACTCTTTTGTGAGCTTTACCTCCAGGAGCCCAACTATATTTTCACAGTGAAGATCGGAAAAAATTACTGTGTGCACCTTGGTAGGGGGAGGTAAAAAATAATCTCTTTGAAAAAATATGCCAGAAGAAGTAAAAGAACACCTTACCTATAAAATAACAAAGAAAAGAATTATATCTTATTTCTCCTCAGAAAGCATGCAAGAAGAGAGTGAAAATTTAAATTGTTGAGAAGAAAAAAAATACCCCTACCAGCCTAGAATTCTGCATCCTGAAAAACCATCCTTCAAAAATGAGAGAGAAATAAAGACTTTTGCAGATGAGATAAGTTGAGGGAATTTGCTGCCAGTAGATCCTCCTTGCAACAAATGTTAGAGGAATATATTCAAAGAGAAAGAAAATTATACAAGTCAGATGATCATATCTCCATAAAAAAAGATCTTTAGAGAAGGAATAAGTGATGATAAAATTGAAATGTTTAATTTTATTTTTTTAGTGACATGACAGATAGTTTTCTTTCAAAATGACCATAACAAAAATATATGATTATGCTTTATATATAAGTGAATGAATGACAGCAATGATGTAAGGGATGAGAGAAAAATTGGGAATATGTGTTATTATAAGGTGCTTGCATTACCTAGGAAGCACTATCAAGTTATTTTAAGGTGGACCTGGAACAAGTGCAAATGTATATTGCAAACCGTAGGGCAACCCATTTTAAAAAGTTGTAAAATAAGTATCACTGATATGCTAAAAAAAAGTAGATAAAATGGAATCTCAAAAAAAGCCGAATTAAGACGACAAAAGGCAGAAAAAAGAGTAGAAGAAAAAATAAGGATAAAGAACAGAAAAAATATGTACATATTAATTTAACTATATCAATAATCACGTTAATTGTCAATTGTTTACACCAATGAAAAGACAAAGATTGTTTTTTACAAGAAACTCACTTTAAATATAAATGTAGATATATAAGATAGAAGTAAAGTGATGCAACAAGATGTATCATGCTAACATCTATCAGAAGGAAAGTCAAGTAGCTATATTAATTTCAGCAGAGAAGACTTCAGAGCAAGAACAAGTATCAAGAATATAGACAGGTACTAATGTGATGCCCTACCTTGTTTTAACCTGATTGACTCTCCCTTAGCTGAGAGAGCCAGACAGACTCCATTTTGGCTCCTTCACTTGCAGCCCCTTACCCACCCCACTTCCTCAAGGTCTTAACTAGTGCAAGCTGACTCCAAGCACATCCAGGAATGCACTTACTAATAAGATATTGAGACAAGCTGCACCAGCAGCTCCTAGGGACGTGCTCGGTGGATGGTACCCAAAGCCCATGCATTATCTCTTTGTGATAGTTTCACCCCCTGCACCTGGAACTGTTTATTTTTCTGTTAACTATCTCTGTAACCATTAATTCCTTTAACTTTTTGCCTGTTCTGCTACTGTAAAAATTGCTTCAGCTAGGCTCCCCCTTCCCTTTTAGACCAAGGTACAAAAAAGAAATCTAGCCCCTTCTTTGTGGCCAAGAGAATTTTGAGTACTAGCCGTCTTTCGGTCGCCGGCAATAAAGGACTCCTGAATTAGTCTCAGAGTGTGGCATTTCTCTATAACTCGCTCGGTTACAACACTATGTAATGATAAAGGTTTCAAGATGAAGAAGAAATAACAAATCTTAATTTGTAAGCACCTAACAGCATCAAAATACACGAGGTCAAAGCAATTTATTTCCCTATTTCTGTTATTCACCATTTTCATTTCACCATTAAATTTTTTTTGGTCCACTGATCTTTCTGAATCACAGCTTTAATCAAGTTATTCTCTGTTTAAACCTTCAATGGCTCTTCATACCCAGAGAAATAAGAATAGTGCTTCAACCTGAATTTTAGGCCAATGCTCAGTGTGATAATTTATTTCATTTTTCACATTTATTTACTACTGGTTTACTTTATCCAAAATAAGGCCTGTGCTGTTCCCGTCTCCGGAGCTTTTATTTCTATTGCTTCATGCTGGACTAGCTACTTTTCTCTGTTTCCTAACCTTTCTTTTGAACACCATCCAAAATGCCATGTTTAAATACCATGTCGTTTTCCACAACTTCTCATTTATTTGTCATAACCACCTTCTTAGAACGTTGTTATACTTTTAATGTTTTTATTTGTACTATATAATATTCTGCCTTATATGAGAGTTATTTGTGAACCTGTCTCTTATCCTCCTGAATTATAAAATATTTGAGGACATGGTTTAATCATTTACATATATTCTGCACGATATAGCACACAATCACGCTCATAGTGATAAAATACATGGGTTAGATATTGTTTTAAAATTTACATCCATGACAGCAAAATTGACATCCTCTTTCATGAAGATTTCCTGATCATTCAAGTGCTTTTTAATTTATCTCTAGTCTGAAGTTCTATGGTACTCAATCTCTGCACCAGTTGTTAGCAGTTAAATAGTTATTTCATGGTTTCATGTGTCATCCTCAGTAGTTTAAAAGTTGCTTGAGGGCTGGGACCATTTTCATTATCTCTTTTGTGTTCCTTACAATAGCTTGAATATGTAAGTGATGCAATAAATACTTGTTGAATTAGATTAAACACAGTAGTCTTTTATACTTCTTCCAAAATGCCACCATTTGGCATGCAAATGAAGCATCAATAAATTAGTGGACAATTGTGAAAATATCATGAAAGTTACACATAAAATCCAGCTACTTGAGAGGGCAATTTCTCTGCATTAATCCATATCATTTGGCAACCACACTCCATCTTCATTTATATCACAGTTATCGAAATTACCCCCTAGAAGGCTACAGTTTGATATACAACTATAATTCTGAATAACCACCCATTTGTTCATCCTGTAAATCTTTATTACAAGAGGGCTTTTCTCCATTGCTCATTTATTTGCACTTTATAAAATATGTGCATTATATGTGCTCTCTTGCCTTCACATTCACTTTTGACAGGATTCCAGTCACAGTGAGATATGTTCAAAATAATAAGTACATTTGTCAATCAAGAGGAAAGAGAACTGTAAACACGTCTTCCTTCATATTACTCTTATTTACTAGTGTGAGGAATACATACTCATGAAGAAATATTGAGAATGGTTACAATGAAGAATATAATCCCCTGTCATTAAGCCTTCTTTTGCCTTTCATAGGTGCTTACAGGTTTATATAATATGCTACTTTGCAGAGATAACGGAGGGGTGGGGGGGTGCTATTTCTCCCACCTTGAAGTTTACAGTTATTGAAAGAATTAGAATTAACAAAATTCTATATTATTTTGCCATAGAAAAAGAATCAATTTAAAAATCTCCTTTATGGAATTTTGTCATATTGTCTTAATCAAACAAGTGAATATTGTATAAGTCCCAGAAGCTGTGGTGCTTTTATATCATTAGAAATTATGAAATCGTTGCATAATAATAATTTTAAATTTATGAATTACTTTTTAATTTGATATATCCTGGGTTTTGAATACCTGGCTTGGACCATAATAAAAATGCAAAAATATACATATATAACAGAAAATCATTGATTAAAAAAACCATATTTTTTGACACACATGTCACATTTGTAAATCATATCAGAATATCTGTCACAGACTCAAAGTTGCTTAAAATAATTATTCACCAATTAAAATTAGTCAATATACACAATTCTCTCATTGATATATATAAGTCAATATGCATATTAATATGTATAGATATATATTGATTTATATAACAATAAAATATCAATAATAATAGATATATAAATACAGATCAACATATATAAATATATATTAACAAAAGAATTTAGTAGAGACATAGATACATACAGAAACTCAAAGTTGCAAACAGAAAAAAACTATCAAGTTTTTTTTCAAGATTACAAGAGGAAGCAGGAAGAAAATTTGCCAAAAGTAATTTAAAATCTATATATATTTTAAGATATGTATATATATATCTTACATATATATATCTTACACACACACACACACACACACACACACACACACACACACATATATATATATATATATATATATATATATATATATATATATATATATATAAGTGGAGGTTAAGAGGAAGGAGAGGATCATGAAAAATAACTAATGGATATTATTAGGCTGAATACCTGTGTCAAAAAATAATATGTACAACAAATTCCTATAACAAAAGTTTATCTATATAACAAACCTGCATATGTTCCCCTGAACTTAAAATAAAAGTTAAATAAAAAAAAGAAAAATGCAAAAAAATCCAAACTAAATTACAAGTAGATAAGAGGAATAACTTCTAGTGTTCTATACCACTCTATTATGACAATAGTTAACAATAATACATCATTTCAAGTAGCTAGAATGACTATATTTAATTTTGGCAACATAAAGAAACGATAAATGTTTGAGATGATAATATGCTCTTCACCTTGATATGACTACTACACATTATATATATCAAAACATCACTGTGCACCTTATGAAAATGTACAGTTATTTGTCAATTAGAAAATATAAAATTAAAATAATAAAGTTTTAAATTTTAAAATGTGGTATTAAAAAAACACAATGAGATACCACCACATACCATTTGAATAGCTAAAATTTAAAAAATAGTGACAATAGGAAGTGTTGATGAGAATGAGGAGTAACAGAGTCTCATTTATTGCTGGTGGAAATGTAAAATGGTGTGGCTATTCTGGAAAATAGTTTGGCCATTTCTTATGAAGTTAAATGTATGCTTTCCATAAGATCCAGTAATCCCACTCCTAGTTATTTACCCAAGTGAAATAAAAACCCACAATTACACATACAAAAAAGAAAGAATTAGTGAGATTGAGGACAGGTTATTTGAAAATACAGTCACAGGACACAAAATAAAGAAGAATAAAAAACAATGAAGCATACCTAATATATTTACAAAATAACTTCTAAATGGAAAATTTAAGAGTTATTGACGTTAGAGAGGAAGCAGACAAAGAGATAGGAGCAGAAAGTTTATTCAAAGGGATAATAACAGAGAATTTCCCAAACCTAGAGAAAGATGTCAGTATTCACATGCAAGAAGGTTATAGAACACCAAGCAGATTTAACTCCCCACAAAGGCTATTTCAAGGCATTTAATAATCAAACTCCCAAAGGTCTATGATACAGAAAGGATCCTAAAAGCAGTTGAGAAAAGAAACAAATTGCACAAAAGGGAACTCCAATATGTCTGGCAGGAGACTTTTTAGTGTAAACCTTACAGGCCCCAAGAGAGCAGCATGTCATATTTAAAGTGTTGAAGGAAAAATGTTTTACCCTAGAATAGTATATCTAGCAAAAATATTCTTCAAACATGAAGGAGAAATAAAGTATTTTCCAGACAAACAAACCTGAGGGATTTCATCAACACCAGAAATGCTACAGGGAGTACTTCAATCAGAAAGAAAAGGATGTTAATGAGCAATGAGAAATCATCAGAAGGTAAAAGACTGACTGGTAATATTAAATACACAGACAAACACAGAATACTAGAACACTGTAATGGTGGTGTGTAAACTTCTCTTAAGTTCAAATAAATGATGAACCAATAAAAATAATAACTACAACAACTTTTCAAGACATATACAGTATAATAATATATAATTAGAAACAACAAAAGTTAAAAGGTAGAGTGATGAAGTTATGGTGTAGAGTTTTTATTACTTTTCTTTTTCCTTGTTTGTTTGTACAAAGAGTGTTAAGTTGTTATCAGCTTAAAATAATGGTTTAAAAGACAGCATTTGCAAGCTTCATAGTATCCTCAAATTAAAAAAAAAAATACAACAGACGCACAAAAAATAAAAAGCAAGGAACTAAATCATACCACCAGAGAAAATCAAATTCACTAAAAGGAAGACAGGAAGGAAGGAAAAATGGAAGAGAAGACCACAAAATAACCAGAAAACAACAAAAAGACTGGTTAAGTCCTTACTTATTAATAATAACATTGAATGAAAGTGAACTAAACTCTCCAACGCAAACACAGGATGGCTCAATGGATAAAAAAAAGACTCCATGATCAGTTGCCTATAAGAAACATATATCACCTATAAAGACACACACAACTAAAAATAAAGGAATGGAAAAAGTTATTCCTTGCCAATAGAAACCGATAAGGAGCAGGAATAGCCATACTTAGACAAAATAAATGTCAAGGCAAAAACTATAAAAAGAGACGAAGAAGGTTACCATATAGTGATAAAGTGGTCAACTCAACAAGAAGATATCATTAGGCAATTTTTGCACTGCTATAAAAAATACCTGAGAGTGGGTAATTTATTAGAAAAGAAGTTTAATTGGCTCACATTTCTGCATTCTATACAGTAAGCACAGAAGATTTGCTCTGGGGAGGCCTCAGGAAGCTTCCAATCATGGTGGAAGGCAAAGGGGAAGCAGGCACCTCACTTGGCAAAAGCAGGAGCAAGAAAGAGAGAACATGGGGAGAGGTTCCACATGCTTTTAAAATACCATATCTCATGGGAACTTACTGTCATGAGAACAGCACCAAGGGGATGCTAAACCACTCGTGAGAAATCTGCCCCCATGATTCAATCACCTCTCAACCGACCCCACTTTCAACGTTGGGGATTATAATTCAACATGAGATTTTGGCAGGGACAAATATATAAACTACATCAAAGATAAAACAATTGTAAATATGCACTCAAAAATGGAGCACCGAGATATATAAAGCAAATACAATTAGAGGTAAAGAAAGAGACAGATCTCAATACAGTAATAGCTTGGGACTTAAATACCCAGCTTTCATCATTGGAGAGATAAACTTGACAGCAAACCAACAAAGAAACACTTGTCTTAATCTGTGCTATAGACCCAATAGACCTAATAGACACTTACAGAATATGCACCCAAAGGTTTCAGATTACACATTCTTCTCCTCAGCACATGAAACATTCTCAAGGATAGACCATATGTTAGGCCACAAAAAAAAGATCTCAAAAATTGCAAAAATATTGTATTTATGTCAAATATTTTTCTGACCACAATAAAGCTAGAAATCAATAACCAAAGGAATTTTGGAAACTATAAAAACACATAGGAAATAAACAAAATGCTCCTGAATGATGATTGGGTCAATGAAGATGTTAAGAATAAAATTGTAAAATTTATTGGAAAAATAAAAATGAAAACACAACACACAACAACCTATGCAAAAGCTCTACCAAGAGGGAAATGTATGGCAATAAATGCCTACATCATAAAAGGAGAAAAATTTTAAATAAACAAATGAATTATGCATCTTAAAGAAATATACGAGAAAGAGCAAACCAAACCCAAAATTAAGTAGAAGAAAGTGAAAATCACAGTAGAAATACATAAAATTTGAGACTAAAAATTAGAAAAGATTAATGAAAGAAAAAGTTGGTTTCTTACAAAGATAAAGAAAATTGACACAACTTTAGCCAGACTAATAAAAAAGAGAGATCTAAATAAATAAAATTAGAGATGAAAAAGGAGACATTACAACTGATACCACAGAAACTAAACGGATTATTAGTGGCTACTATGAGTAACTATATGCCAATAAATTGGAAAACACAGAAGAAATGTATAAATTCCCAGATATTTACAACCTATCTTGATTGATCCAGGAAGAAATCCAAAACCTGAACAGACTAATAATAAATAATGAGATAGAAGTTGTAATAAAAGTTTTCCACACCAAACAAAAGCTAGGGACCCAATGGTTTCACTGCTGAATTTCACCAAACATTTAAAGAAGAACTATTACCAATACTACTTAGAGTATTCTGAAAAATGAAGGAGGAGGGAATACTCTCAAACTCATTCTGTGAGGTCAGTATTACCCTGATACTAAACCAGACAAGGACACATCAAAAAAAGAAAACTATAGGCCAATATCACTGATGTGTATTGATGCAGCGATCCTCAACAAAATACTAGCAAACTGAATTCAACAACACATTTAAAAAATCATTCAACACGATCAAGTGGGATTTAGCCCTGGGATGCAAGGATGGGTCAACATATGCAAATCAGTCAATGTGATACATCATATCAACAGAAAGAAGGATATAAACCATGTGATCATTTCAACTGATGCTGAAAAAGCATTTGATAAAATTCAACACCTATTCATGGTAAAAACCCTGCACTCCAGCCTGGGCAACAGAGCCAGACTCCGTCTCAAAAAAAAAAAAAAAAAAAAAAAAAAAAAACCCTAAAAAAATGGTGACAGAAGGAACATACCTCAACATAATAAAAGCCATATATGACAGACCCACAGTTAGTATCATGCCAAGTAGTGAAAAACTGAAACCCTTTCCTCTAAGATCTGGAATAAAACAAGGATGCCCACTTTTACCACTGTTATTCAACATATTACTGGAAGTCCGAACTAGCACAATCAGACAAGAGAAAGATTTAAAGAGCATCCACATAGGAAAGGAAGAAGCCAAATTACCCTGTTTGCTGATGACATAATCTTATATTTGGAAAAACCTCAAGACTCTACAGGAAAACTACGGGAACTTATAAACAAATTCAGTAAAGTTGCAGGATACAAAATCAACATACAAAAATCAGTATCATTTCTCTATGCCAACAGTTAACAATGTGAAAAAGAAATAAAAAAGTAATTCCATTTACAATAGCTGGAAGTAAAATAAAATACCTAGGAATTAAACTAGCCAAAGAAGTGAAACATCTCTACAATGAAAACTACAAAACTTTAATGCAAGAAATTGAAGAAGAAACAAAAAGGGAAAGGTATTCCATGTTCATAGAGTGGAAGAATCACTATTGTTAAAATATCCATATTATCCAATACAATCTACAGATTTAATGCAATCCCTACAACATTACAGATGGCATTCTTCACAGAAATAGAGAAAACAATCCTATAATTTAAATGTAACTACAAAAATTCCAGAATAGCCAAAGCTATCCTAAGCAAAAGAAATTAAACTGGAGGAATCTCATTACTTGTCTTTAAATTATGCTAGAGAGCTATAGTAACCAAAACAGCAGGGTACTGGCATAAAAACAGACACATAGACCAATGCGACAGAATGGAAAACCCGAGAACAAATCTACACACCTCAAACAACTCTACTGAAAAAAAAATCTCAAAAAAGATTAAAAATGGGGAAAATATGAGTAGATATTTCTCAAAAGAATACATACAAATGTCAAATAGATATATGAAAAGGTGCTCAACATTGTTGATCATCAGAGAAATGCAAATCAAAACTTCAATGAGATATCATTTCACCCCCGGTTAAAATGGCTTATATCCAAAAGACAGGCAATAACAAATACTGGCTAGGATGTGGAGAAATGAAAACCCTTGTACACTGTTGGTGAGAATGTAATTATTACAACCACTATGAAGAAAAGTTTGAAGTTTCCTCAATAAACTAATAATATAGCTGCCATTGATCCAGCGATCCCACTTCTCAGTATACTATGCAAAAGAAAGGAAATCATATATCTAAGAGATATCTGCACTCCCATGTTTACTGCAGCACTCTACACAATAGCCAAGACTTGGAATCAACCTTAGTGTACATCAATAGATGAACGATAAAGAAAATGTGTACATATACACAACGAAGTACTATTCAGCTATAATAAGGAACAAGATCCTGTCATTTGTAGCAATATGCATGGAACCGGAAGTCATATGTTAAGTGAAATAAGCCAGGCACAGAAAGACAAACTTTGCATGTTCTCATGTATTTGTGAGGTTGAAAATTAAAATGATTGAACTCATGGAGATAGAGTTTAGAAGCATGGTTACCATATTCCGGGAATGATAGTGGGGTACTGGGGGAAAATGGGATGGTTAATCAGTACAAAATGATAGCTAGAATGAATAAGAGCTAGTATTTGGCTGGGTGCAGTGTCTTGTGCCTGTACTCCCAGCATTCTGGGAAACTGAGGCGGGTGGATTACTTGAGCCCAGGAGGTGGAGACCAACTTGGACAACATGAGGAAACCCATCACTACAAAAAATACAAAATTAGCCAGGCATGGTGGTGTGCACCTATAGTCCCAGCTACTTAAGAATCTGAGGTGGGAGAATTGCTTGAGTCCAGGAGGTAGAGGTTGCGGTGAGTGGAGATCACGCCACTGCATTCCAGCCTGGGAGACAGAGAGAGGCTCTGCCCAAAAAAAAAAAAAAAAAAAAAAAAGAAGATCTAGTCTTTGATAGTATGACAGAATGACTACAGTCAACAATAATTTCTTGAACATTAAAAAAATAACTTAAAGAATATAATTGGATTGTTTATAGCACCAATAAAGAATAAATGCTTGAGGGAGATGGATGTCCCATTTACCCTGATGTGATTATTGAATGCCTGTATCAAAATATCTTATATACCCCATAAATATAAACACTATGTACTTACAAGAATTAAAAATTAAAAAAATATATATTTTTTTTAAATTTGAAAAGTACTGGTGGGAAAATAATAAAAAGTTACATTTGGGTCATTGGAGCACCAGAATAACACAGAAACAGTATTTGAAGAGATATAACAAATGAATAAGTTTGTCAAGTCACTGATTGGAAAATCTCTAAGAGCTCCAAGCCAAAAAACAAAAACAAACAAACAAAAACAAAACAAAGAAAAAACAAAAACACAAACAAACAAAAACAAGCAACCCCCAAACTAGACAATTTATAATAAAATCCTGAAAATCAAAGGTGAATAGAAACCTCTTAATGGCCAAAGTTAATCAACACGTGGCCTCCTAAGGCATAACAATCAAATTTAAAGATGACTTCTTATCAGAAAAATTGGATGCTAGAAGATAATAACTTGACAGCTTTAAAGTGGTAAGCATTAATAATTGGCAGCTTAGAATTATATAACCAATAAAAATATCCTCCAAAAATACAGGTGAAATAAATGTTTCTATGTGAAAAGGAAAAAAAAAATACTGAGATAATTCTCTCCAGTAACCTCTATGCAAAAAGCAATTCCAAAGTGAGATCATTAGATAAAACCAATAAAAAATTGTAGCAGTTCAAAACACAAAATTATGAAACGGAATAAAGAACCATGAAAAGGATAAATATGTGGGTGAATCTAAAAGTATATTAAATATGTAATGCAATAATATATATGGTACATAAGTTTTAAGTATATGCAGAATTAATATTCAGAAAAAACAATACAAAAATAAAGGAGCCTACATTACTTTTAAGTGTTGAAGGTCCTTGCATCATTTGGGAGGTGTTAAAATTAAAAATTTATGTTAGACATTAATAAATCTATAAGACCTGTTATAATCTCCAGCATAACTATTAAAAGTATTTTAAAATAATCTAATCAAAGATGAAATGATTCAATTATTGATTCACTAAAAATAAGTCAAGAAAATAGCAAAAAAAAGAGCATAGAAAATGGGACAAATAGAAAAGTTTGCTGGTGGATTCAAGTACAAATAAATCAATAATTACTTCAAATTAAAAAAGATCTAACTCTTCCAATTTAAAGACAAAGATATTAAGACTGAAGAAAATTCTAAGTGCATGCTGCTTAAAAGAGAAAAAAATTAAATATAAGGAAGATAATGTATTTTTAATTAAATGATAATGGATTTATATGATAAAAACAAAACAAGAAACAATGTAGCTATACAGATTTCAGAAAAAATTGTCTAACATCAATAATTATTACTAAGAATGAATAAGACCTACTATTGGATAGCACAACAGGGTGACTATAGTCAATGATAACTTAATTATACATGTTAAAGTAACTAAAAGAGTGAAATTGAATTCTTTATAACACAAAGGAGAAATGCTTGAGAGGATGGATACTTCACTCTCTATGATGTGATTATTATGCATTGCATGATTGTATCAAAGTATCTAATGTACACCATAAATATACTCACCTATTATGTACCCATAAAAATTAAAAATAAAAAACTATTAAAAAACAAGAATTAATACTAATTATAATGAAAAAAATCCCATAATGATAAAAGAGTCAATCAACTAGGAATATATAACTATCCTTAACTTGTATGCTCTGAATTACATATCCAAGCATGTATAAAGAAATAAAATGACATAAAAATAAAGATAAATTGAGAAGTTCACATTCAAATTGGAGGATTTTGATAGATGTCTCTTAGTGCTTGTCAGAAAAAAAGTCAGTAAAAATACACAAAATAACAATGATCAAACTTTAACTTTAAATGTATAAAACACAGTACAGGGAACCTGTAGAAAGTAAATGTTAATAAAGTGCACATTTCTAAAGTTGCAGCATTTATATGCTCGGCTATATAGCAAGTTTCAAAAAACTTCATAGGTTGGGAATCATACTGAGTGTATTATCTATCATCTGTGGGATTAAGAAACAAATTTTACAGAAATAAGTTAGAAGTGAGCCAAAATTAATAGAGTAGAAAACAATATGGAACAGAGAAAATCAACAAAAGTAAAAGTTGGTTTTTAAAATTCATAACTCCTTGGGGAAATTAATCAAGGTACAACAAAAAAAGTACAAACTTCCAATATCAGGAGTGAAAAGGGGGGAATAGTACATGTCATACAGATGTTAATGACACTAAAGGCTATAATTAAATTTATGGAATTTATTTTTAAATTTTGATGTAAAGAAACAAAATATGATATAAATTGTGCAATATCTATAATTAACCTTCTTACATAGAAGTTTCAAGTTCAAATGACTTGCTTTGATAATTCTATTACTTAATTAAGAAACACTTGACTCTTAAAGGAATTATTTTAAAAATAGAGAAAGCAGGAATATTTTCCAACTTACTTTACGATGCTAGCAAAGCTATGATTCCCAAATCTGACAAATTCATTGTAATAAATGAAAAATATCCAGCAAAATATTATCACCATCAATCAATATATGAAAGGGAAGAAGAAAGCTCATTATTAGCCAGTGTTTAGTGAAAGAACACGTAGTTAGTTTAACATTTGAATATCTGATGATATAATTCACCATATTAATTTTTGTTGTTCTACCTACCAATGTTGGGATATGCTCATTCATTTCAGCTTTAAAATGGTAGTCTTAAATTTACAGGCCTATATATTTTTCCACACTTTCCTTACCAACATTATTTATATAATCGTTTGTGTTCAATTCCTGCAGTCTGGCTTCCTCTATGGTATGTTTTTGAACCCACTTTTTTCCAAAGTAAAGAAATCCTGGGTTTTTTTTTCTGTTTTTTTGTTTGTTTTTGTTTTTGTTTTTGTTTTGTTTTGTTTTTTAAGACAGAGTTTCACTCTTGTTGCCCAGGAGTGCAGTGGCGCGATCTCGGCTCACCACAACCTCCACCTCCTGGGTTCAAGCGATTCTCCTGCTTCAGCCTCTCGAGTAGCTGGGATTACAGGCATGTGCCACCACACCCAGCTAATTTTGTATTTTTAGAAGAGACGGGTTTCTCCATGTTGGTCAGTCTGGTATCGAACTCCCGACCTCAGGTGATCCGCCTGCTTCAGCCTCCCAAAGTGCTGGGATTACAGGCATGAGCCACCGTGCCCGGCTGTTTTATGGTTTTGTTTGTTTTTTTGTTTTTGACAGTCTTGCTCTGTTGCCTAGGCTGGAGTGCAGTGGCATGATATCAGCTCACTGAAATTTCCACCTTCCAGGTTCAAGTGATCCTCCTGCCTCAGCTTGCCAAGTAGCTGGGACTACAGGCACATGCCACCACACCAGGCTAATTTTTGTATTTGGTTGGTGCAACAGTAATTGCGTTTTTTGCCAAATGGCACCAACCTAATATTTTTAGCAGAGACAGGGCTTCACCATGTTGGCCAGTCTGGTCTCAAACTCCTGACCGCAAGTGATCCACCTGCTTTGGCCTCCCAAATTTCTGGAATTACAGGCATAAGCCACCATGCCCAGCCAGAACTTCTTAAAGATAAACATTAAAAATAATTATCATTGTTTATCTTGTTGAAATCTCAGAAATATTTGACCGTTCAGATCAGTTATTTCTTAAAGTGTTTCAATTGCTACAAGTGTAGAAAAAAAACTATTTTTTTTTTGTTTTTTTGTTTTGTTTTGTTTTGTTTTTGTTTTTGTTTGTCTTTTGAGCAATGTAAACCCAACTGTTTACCCAAGGTTTTAGCAGGGCATGAACTCCCAACTAGAAGTTTCATGTCCTAGAATCCCATGAAGCTAGGTGTGGCCATTTGAATTTCTGCTACTGGAGGGTGAGTAGAAAGAATGTGTGCAACATTCTGCTCACATTATTTTAAAAATAAAATTGTTTTCTCTCCATTTTCCCTTTTTTAAAGGCTAGAATATCAATGTGGTCATAATGTTAATGCTGATCATGCTGATGAGGGCAACACCATTGCGGGTGGAGGTGGAGAGGTAGCAAAGAAATAAGATAGAATAAGCCTCGTTTCCTTCACGGCATTGTAGACCCAGCAGCCCACTCACCCTGAATAGCCCATGCATTGCTGAACTATTACATGTAGAGAAATAAAACCTCACCTGGTATGAGTTTCTATATTTTTAGTTCTCTTTGTTATAGCAGAGTAACTTATATCCTAATTTAAAAAAAGAGATAACAAAACTCCATAATAAAGGCATTTAATTAATATAATAAGAAAATTGAATGATTCCATATCTGGCAAAAAGCCTCAGCAATGACAACAAATAGCTAAGCTTTTTCTACATATCTTCAATGCCACACTTGGCTTATTTTTGTTAGTTTTATACGCTCATGATTTAAACATGACTGAAACATCTCCAAGTACCATCTTCTCTAAAATAAATTTTGGTTAAAGGAAAAAGGTGTGTTATTTTTTTCTAAATCCACTGTATCCTTGACCCTATGGCTCGAGACATAAGTGAGTTACTTATCCACCTCAAAGAAAAACAAAAACAAACAAACAAACAAACAAAACAGGCCCGGCATGGTGGCTCACACCTGTAATCCCAGCACTTTGGGAGGCCGAATCACGAGGTCAAGAGATCGAGACCATTCTGGCCAACATGGTGAAACCCCGTCTCTACTAAAAGTACAAAAATTAGCTGGGCGTGGTGATGCTCGCCTGCAGTCCCAGCTACTCAGGAGGCTGAGGCAGGAGAATTGCTTGAACCCGGGAGGCGGAGGTTGCAGTGAGCCGAGATCGCACCACTGCACTCCAGCCTAGCCACAGAGCGAGACTCTGTCTCAAAAGAAAAAAAAAAAAAAAAGCCCTCACAAAATAGTACTGGGATTATTTTGCTTGGTTTATATTAAATATGGCTTCCCTAAGGCTTGGAGAACGAACACACACACATTGCTACTTGAACAAATTGGATTTCTATAAATTGAGGAAGAAAGGAGGCTGATGGACTATTGGGAAGTCACCAAACGTGACATGCCTTTTTAATTCCTAGTTCAATATTCATACTGGTGCTTTCCCCAATATATACATATTAAATTTATTTACTTTTTTTCAGTGCATTTATATTCTTTCAAAGAGAGACATTCTCTTAGGCTCATCTAATTACCAAATCCAGCTTGAATTAAATGTTTGATCTATCCTCTTATTCATTAAGTCCAAATGTGGCGCCTTTATATCAAAAAGATAAATTACCTGCCCCCAATATATTCATTATAAAATGATGGAGAAGGAATGCAACAACTTTATTTAAGGGGAAGAGGAAGGAATTCACAGTAGCTTTTTCTCTGTAATATATAGCATAGCCTGCTAGAAAGGATTAGTATTGATTTTCTGCCTTCAGTGGAGAAGCCCTCTGGATAGCCAATCTATCAGAATGTAGTTCCATTTTATGGACTGAACTTTCTCATTCATTGTCTTCGATATCCATAATTAATATGGTCATTGGGGGAATGCCTTTTTGGGATATTGCAGAATATCTGCCATGAGATTCCTGGTGCCCAGGGTTTGGGCCTAAGAATACAAGAGTCAGCCAATGGGTTTCAATGTTTCTGGTCTCTATTGCAGTAAATTTTCTGAATCTTTTTGAGCTCCGGTTTCTTTGTTTTGATCTATTCTTTGTTTTAGTAACCATAGTTTAAAAAAATGTGTTAGGACATACCCTGTAAGCTTTAAAATGGCTATAAATTTGTCACTAGTCAATACAAATTTATCTAGTTTAATGTATCTTCCTTGATAATATACAGAAAAGTAGTTTATTAACTACTTAGTTTATTAACCTCGTATCCTGCAACCTTGCTAAAATTGCTCATTAGTTTAGGGCTTTTCTTGGTCTATTCTTAGGGGTTTTCTGAATAGAAGATCACACCAGCTGTGTAAATAACAGTTTTATTTCTTCTTCCCAATCTATGTATCTTTCATTTTCATTTTTTTGTCTTATTGCACTAGCTAGGACTTCCAATACCATGTTGAATAGTAGTTGTGAGCGAGGGTTTCACTGCCTTTTTCCCAGTAATATGAAGAAATAATATGGAGAATCTAGTTTCTCACCATTAACATTCCCTACATTATTATATAAATTTTATCTACAGTAACATTCCCGACATTATTTTTTGCAGGTTTCTTTATGAAGTTGAGGAATTTCTCCTGTATTCAGGTTTCTGAGAGTTTTTGTAATAAACCAGTGTTGGATATTGTTAAATTCTGTTTCTCTATCTATTGTTATGGTCATATGATTTTTCTTCTTACGCTGTTGATGGGATATGTTATTTACATTAATTTTTCAAATGTTGAACCAGCCTTGCATATCTGAAATAATTTCACTTAATGTACAATTACTTTATACATTGTTGGTGTTGATTTCCTAATAGTATATTGTGAGTTTTTGCAGCTATGTTCATTAGGGATATTGGTTTGTAGTTTTCCCTTCCTGTTATTTCTTTATCTAATTTCGGTATTAGGGAGGTGCTAGCCTTATAGGATGAGTTAAGAGTTAGGAAATATTCCCTTTTTTTTCTATTTTCTGGCACAGATTTTAGAAAATTGGTATAATTTCATCCTTAAACATTTGGTAGAAATCACCAGTAAACCTATCTAGATCTAGTTAGAAAAGTTATTATTATTTTTTTTCTATTTTCCGTCACAGATTGTAGAAAATTGGTATAATTTCATTCTTAAGTTTTCAAATATGCGGGCATAGACTTTTTCATAATATTTTTTGTTATCTTTTTAATGACTGTGGGATCAGCAATGATGTTCTCTTTTTCCTTTCTGGTATTTTCAATTCCTGCCTTTTTTTTCCTAATGGTTAGCCTGATTTGAGTTTAAAAAATTTTTTTTAATCTTTTCAAAGATCCAGCTTTTGTTTTCATTTGAATTTCTCCATTGATTTCCTGTTTAGTATTTCACTGATTTCTGCTCTAATTTCTTTTGTTATTTTCTTTTCTTCTGCTTGATTGAGGTTTATATTGCTCTTCTTTATATAGTTTCCTAAAATAGGAGTTTAGAATGTTGAATTTAGATATTCCTGTTTTCTAAAGTATGCATTCAATGCTACAAATGTCACCTTATTCTATATTCACTCTATCACACAAAGTTTGATAGGTAGTATTTTCATTTTCATTTAGTACCAAATGCTTTTAAATTCCTTTGAGACTTTTTTGAGACACATACTATTTAGAAGTATGTTGTTTAATCTCCAATGATTTTGGGATTTTACAGCTATCTTTCTGTTATTATTTAGCTTAATTCCATTATATTATTATTCAGCTTAATTCCATTATATTGTGACAGCATACTTTTATCATTTCTATTTTTTAAAATTATGGTGTGTTTTATATTACAGAATATTGTCTATTTTGTTGAACGTCCTATGTGAGCTCGAGAAGACTATGTCTTCTGCTGTTTTTGAATGAAGGTGTTCTATGTCAATTAGATCCAGTTAATGGCTTGGGCTGTCTATGTTTGTACTGATTTTCTGCCTGCTATATCTGTCAATTACTGATAGAGTGTTGCTGAAGTCTCTAATAGTGAATTAATCAATTTTAACTTGCAGTTTTTGTTTGTTTTTTATTAATTATATTTCAATAGCTTTGGGGGCACAAGTAGTTTCTAGTTACATGGATGAATTATCTAGTAGTAGATTCTGATATTTTCGTGCACCTGTCACCTGAGAAGCGTACATCACACCTAATGTGTAGTGTTTTTTCCCAAGCCCTCCTCCCACTCACCTTCTTCTAGTCTCTAAAGTTCATTATATCACTCTGTTTACCTTTGCATACTCATAGCTTAGCTTTTACTTATAAGTGACAACATACAATTTTTGATTTTTCACTCCTGTGTTATTTCACTTGGAATAATGCCCCCCAGCTCCATTCAAGTTGCTGCAAAATACATTGTTTCGTTCCTTTTTAATGGCTTAGCAGTATTCCATGGTGTATATATAACACATTTTCTTTATCAATTCATGAGTCAGTGGGTACTTAGATTGGTTCCACATCTTCGCAATTGTGAATTGTGCTGCTATAAACATACATGTTCAAGTGTCCTTTTCATATAGTGACTTTTTTTCTTTCTTTGTGTAGATACCCAGTAGTGAGATGGCTGGATCAAATCATCGATCTACTTTTAGCTCCTTAAGGAATCTCCATACCATTTTCCATAGAGGTTGTGCTAATTTACATTCCCACCAGCAGTGTATATAAGCATTCTCATTTCCCCACATCCATGCCAACATCTATTATTTTTTGACTTTTAAATAATGGCCATTCTTGTAGGAGTAAGGTGATGTCTTATTGTGGTTTTAAGTTTCAGCTCCCTTATGATTAGTGATGTTGAGCATTTTTTCATGTGTTTGTTGAACATTTGTGTCTCTTCTTTTGAGAAATGTCTGTTCATGTTCTTTGGCCATTTTTTGATAGGATTATTATTATTATTTTTTCTTGCTGATTTGAGTTCCTTGTAAATTCTGGGTAGTAGTTCTTTGCCAGATCTGTAATTTACAAATATTTTCTCCCACTCTGTGAATTGTGTGTTTACTTGATTATTGTTTCCTTTGCTATGAAGAGGCTTTTTTAGTTTAATTGGGTCTCATTTATTTATTTTTGTTTTTGTTGCATTTGCTTTTGGGGCCTTAGGCATGAATTCTTTGCCTAGGCTGATGTCTGGAAGAGTTTTTCGAATATTTTCTTCTAGAATTTTTATTGTTTCAGGTGTTATATTTAAGTCTTTGATCCATCCTGAACTGATTTTTGTATAAGGTGACAGATAGTGATCCAGTTTTATTCTTCTACATGTGACTTGCCAGCTTTTCCAGTACCATTTATTAAATAAGGTGTCCATTCCCCCAATTAATATTTTTGTATGCTTTGTCAAAGATGAGTTGGCTGTACATACTTCGATTTATTTCTGGGTAATCTATTCTGTTCCATTGGTCTATATGCCTACTTTTATATCATTACCCTGCTGTTTTGGAAAATATAACCTTGTAGTATAATTTGAAGTCCAGTAATGTGATGCCTCCAGATTTGTTATTTTTGCTCAGGATTGCTTTGGCTATTTGGCCTCTTTTTTGGTTCCATATGAACTTCAGGATTGTTCTTTATAATTCTGTGAAAAACGATGCTGGTATGTTGATGGGAATTGCATCAAATCTGTAGATTGCTTTGGATGGTTATGGTTGTTTTCACAATATTGATCCTGAGAGGTGAAGCTGGCTGGGCTTCTGGGTTGGGTGGGGACTTGGAGAACTTTTCTGTCTAGCTAAAGGTTTGTAAACGCACCAATCAGCACTCTGTAAAAACACACCAATCAGCGCTCTGTGCCTAGCTAAAAGTTTGTAAATGCACCAATCAGCACTCTGTAAAAACGGACCAATCAGCACTCTGTAAAATGGACCAATCAGCGCTCTGTAAAATGGACCAATCAGCAGGATGTGGATGGAGCCAAATAAGGGAATAAACGCTGGCCACCCCAGCCAGTAGCGGCAACCTCCTCGGGTCCCCTTCCAGTTCTTTTGCTCTTCAGAATAAGTCTTGCTGCTGCTCACTCTTTGGGTCCACACTACCTTTATGAGCTGTAACACTCACCGCGAAGGTCTGCAGCTTCACTCCTGAAGTCAGCGAGACCATAAACCCACAGGGAGGAACAAACAACTCCAGACGTGCCACCTTTAAGAGCTGTAACACTCACTGGGAAGGTCTGCGGCTTCACTCCTGAAGTCAAGCGAGACCACAAACCCACTGGAAGGAAGAAACTCCAGACACATCTGAACATCTGAAGGAACAAACTCCAGACACATCATCTTTAAGAACTGTAACACTCACCGCAAGGGTCCGCGGCTTCATTCTTGAAGTCAGCCAGACCAAGAACCCACCAGAAGGAACCAATTCCAGACACAATTCTTCCAATCCATGAGCATGGGATGCGTTTCCATTTGTTTGTGTTATCTATGATTTATTTCAGCAGTGTTTTGTAGTTCTCCTTGTAGAGCTCTTTCACATCCTTCATTTAGTGTATTACTAGGTATTTATTTATTTTATTTTATTTTAATTTAATTTAATTTTATTTTGCAGCTGTTGTAAAAGGGATTGTGTTCTTGCTTTGATTCTCAGGTTGGTCATTGCTGGTGCATAGCAGTGCTACTGATTTGTGTACATTCTTTTTGTAATCACAGACTTTGCTGAATTCATTTATCAAATCTAAGAGTCTTTTGGAGGAGTTTTTAGGATTTTCTAGGTAAATAAGCATATCATCTGCAAACAGAGATAGTTTGACTTTCTCTTTTCCAATTTGGATGCCGTTTATTTCTTTCCCTTGTCTAATTGCTCTGAGTCTAGATTCTTGGCAAGTTTGTCGAAAATGAGTTCACTGTCAATGTATGGATTTATTTCTGGGTTCTCTATTCTGTTCCATTGGTCTATGTGTCTCTTTTGATGCCAGTACCATGCTATTTGGGTTACTACAGCTTTGTAGCGTAACTTGAAGTCAGGTAATATTATTCCTCCAGCTTTGTTCTTTTTGATCAGGGTGGCTTTGGCTATTCTGAATTTTTTGTAGTTCCATATAAATTCTGGCATTTTTTTTTCCTATTTCTGTAGAAAATGTCATAGATATTTTCATAAGGATTTCATTGAATCTGAAGATTGCTTTGCGTAGTATGTACATTTTAACAGTGTTGATTCTTCTAATGTATGCAAACTGACTATCTTTTCATTTCCTTGTGTCCTCTTCAATTTCTTTCATTAACGTTTGACAGTTTTCACTATAGAGATCTTTCACTTCTTTGGCTAAGTTTATTCCTAGATATTTTATTTTATTTGTAGCTACCATAAATAGGATTACTCTCCTGGCTTCTTTTTCAGATTGTTCACTTTTGGCATATCACAATGCTACTGATTTCTGTACATTGGTTTTGTATTCTGCAACTTTCCTAAATTTATCAGTTCTAATAGTTTTTTTGGTGGAATTTTTAGTTTTCTCTAAATATAAGATTATAGCCTATGCAAACAAAGATAATTTAGCTTTTTCATTTCCAATATGGATCTCCTTTATTTCTTTCTCTTGTCTAATTTCTCTGGCTAGGACTTCTAGTACTATGTTGAATAAAAGTGGTAAAAATGGTCACCCTTATTGCATTCCAGAACTTACAGAATCACTTTCAAGTTTTCCTTTTTCATTATGAAACTAACTTTGGGTTTGTCATATATGGCTTTTCTCATATGTTGACGTATGTTCCTTCTATACCGAGTTTGTTGAGAGTTTTTATTATGAAAGGATATTGAAGTTGCTCAAATTGTTTTTCAGGATCTATTTAAATGATCATATGATGTTTGTCCTTCAGTTTGTTAATATGTTGTATCACATTTATTGATTTGTTCATGTTGAGCCACACTTGCATCCCTGGGATGAATCCCATTTGATAATGTTGATCTTTTTTATGTGTTACTGAATTTGGTTTTTTAGTATTTTGTTGAGGATTTCTGCATCTCTGTTCATGAGATATATTGGCCTTTCATTTTCCTTTGCCTGGTTTTGGTATCAGCATAACACTGGCCTTATGGAATAAGTTTAGAAATATTTCCTTCTCCTCACAGTTTTGAAATAGCTTGTGTAGGGGTTCGTATTAGTTCTTTAAATGTTTGGTAGAATTTAGTGTGAAGTCATCAGGTCCTGGGCTTATCTGTACTGGGAGACTTTTTATTGCTGTTTTATCTCATTACTTGTTATTTTTGTATTGAGGTTTTGGATTTCTTCATGGTTCAATTTTAGTAGGTTTTATGTGTCCAGTAATTTATTATTTCTTCTAGGTTTTCTGATCTATTGGCACATGGTTTCTCATAATATTCTTTAATAATCCTTTAAGTTTCTGTGCTGTCAGTTGTAATGTCTCTTTTTTTTATCTCTGATGTTATTTTTTTGGATCTTCTCTCTTTTTTCTTAATTAGGCTGGTTAATGGTGTGTTGATTTTATCTTTTAAAAAACTCTTCGTTTCATTAATCTTTCATATTTTTTTATTTTCAATCATATTTATTTCTGCTCTGTCCTTTACTTTTCTTCTACTAATTTTGAGCTTCGTTTGCTCTTTCTGGTATATGTCTTTAAGATGCATCAGTAGTTTATTTAAAATTTTTCTACTTTTTTGATGTGGGCATTGCTGTATGTTTCCCTTTTGGTACAGCTTTTGCATAGGTTTTTTTATGTGATATTTCCATTTTCATTTTTTGCAAGAACTTTTAAAATTTTCTTCTTAATATCACCTTTTACCCAATCATTGTTCAGGAGTATATTGTTTAATTTCTATGTGTTTTTATAGTTTCCAGAATTCTTCCTGTCGTTAATTTCTAGTTTTATTCCGTTTTAGTCAGTAAAAAACACTAGACATAATTAAATTTTTTTGAATCTTTAAGCCTTGTTTATGGCCTAAAATATGGTCTATCCTTGAGAATGTTCCATGTGCTGCTGAGGAGAAGAATGTGTATTCTGCGGTTTTTGGATGCATGTTCTGTAAATGTCTGTTAGGTCTATTTAGTCTATAGCACAGGTTAAGTCCAGTGTTTCTTTGTTAATTGTTTTGTCTATATTATGTGTCCAGTTCTGAAAGTGGGGTGTTGAAGTCCCCAGCTATTATTGTATTGGTGTCTATTTCTCTCTTTTGCTCTGATAATATTTGCTTCATATATCTCAGTCCCCCAGGGTTGGGTACACATATATTTACAACTGTTGTATCTTCTTGCTGAACTGACCACTTTGTCTTTATATAATGACCTTTTTGTCTGTTTATATAATTTTTGTCTTGGACTCCATTTTGGCTGATATAAATATAGCTATTCCTATTCTTTTTTGGTTTCCATTTTCATAGACTATCTTTTTTCATCATTTTATTTTCATTCTTCCTGGGTCTTTATAGGTGAAATTAGTTTCTTGTAGGAAGCACAGAATTAGGTCTTCTTTTTCAATCCATGCACCCACTCTGTCTTTTCACTGGAAATTTAGTACTTTTACATGCAATGTTAATTATTGGTAAGTAAGGACTTACTACTGCCATCTTGTTATTTGATTTCTGGTTGTTTTGTTGGTCCTCTCTTTACTTCTTTCCTGTCTTCCTTTGCATAAAAGTGATTGCCTCTGG